>NT_187682.1:0-176103 GCF_000001405.40 Homo sapiens | reverse complement strand
GATCCTTTCTGAATTAATAAATTTATTACTTGTTTTTACTAAACTTATTTTGTTCAGCTTTTCAAGGAATGCCAGTTCACTCTACTGTTTTCAGGGTTTTTAAAAAATCAACTTGCTTTCAAAATCAAAATATTAGATTTTAACATTCCAGCATAAATCTTTTTATATAAATAAAACTTTTGTTGATGCTTTTGGTTTTTCATACGCCTATATTTAAGGGGTAAATCTTGAAAATATTACTAAGGAATTGGAATTGACATCTAATTATAGTAGTTGAGATAATATATTTATGTAATCCCTTTTAGAGAAGTTTAATAAATATTTTTCAACAGACAAAGCATTATCTCTACTTTATTTTTTTTTCTATATTTTGATACTAGCCCGTCCTGTATCTGTTGAAGAAGCTTTCTTAGTGATTCGTTAGGAAATTCTCTTTCTGGAACCCAGTGACAGTGCAACTCAAGTAGCGTCTCTACTAATGTGAAGTCACAACACTGATCATGTAGAACTCATGTATCTGATTTCATTAGCAAATTAGTAGATGGTGTAGGTTTCTAAGGAAGAGTGAACTAATGCATTCTCTTTGCTTTAGTTTACATTAAATCATTAGGGAATAGGGAAATAGGAAATTTTTTCTTTTGCCACTTATAAATGAATAAAGCCTTAGTTTTTGTTTTGTTGTTTTTTTCCTATGGCCCCCTGTCACTTGAAGGCCTTAGTTTTATAAACCAGTATTTTGCTTCTCTTATTGACCTGATTCAGTTTATTAGCCTTTTATTAAAATATATACTATATACTTCATAATATTTTATTTTTGTTAAACATTTGACTCTACTAAATTAAATATTTGAAAAAATCTCACTATAACAGTATTTTTATTCTAGAGTTAAAATGGTTGTATGAAAATAGTTATTTTTGTTAAAATAGTTTTATATATAGGGATAATTATATACGTTTAAAAATGCCAAGATTGTTACTCTAGTGTTTCAGTTAAAAAAGCTTTTAAAGGCTGGGCACCGTGGCTCACACCTGTAATCCCAACATTTTGGGAGGCCGAGGTGAGCAGCGGATCATGAGGTCAGGAAATTAAGACCATCCTGGCCAACAAGGTGAAGCCCCGTCTCTACTAAAAATACAAAAATTAGCTGGGCATGGTGGTGCGTGCCTGTAATCCCAGCTACTTGGGAGGCTGAGGCGGGAGAATCGCTTAAACCTGGGAGGTGGAGGTTGCAGTGAGTCGAGATGTGCCACTGCACTCCAGCCTGGCGACAGAGCTGGACTCAGTCTCCAAAGCTTTTAAAACTGTCTTGTGTGTGGATAAAGGTGATTTTTAAGAATATTTTATAAAATATTACCGAAGTTTATGTTTGTAGGTGTTAGCTCTCCCAAAGACTTCTTGAATAGTTGTTTCAGACGGGTTTAGGCCATAATTCTGAAAGAGACAGTTCTTTTTTTTATTTTTTTCTTTTTTTTTTTGAGATGGACTTTCGTTCTGTCGCCCAGGCTGGAGTGCAGTGGTGCTCGGCTCACTGCAACCTCTGTCTCTTGGGTTCAAGTGATTCTCCTGCCTGAGCCTCCCAAGTAGCTGGGATTATAGGTGCGTGCCACCACACCCGGCTAATTTTTTTGTATTTTTACAAAAAAAAATACAGGTAGAGACAGAGTTTCGCCATGTTGCCCAGGCTGGTCTTGAACTCCTGACCTCAGGTGATCTGCCCACCTTGGCAGGGTTTTGCCACGTTGGCCAGGCTGGTCTCAAACTCCCGACCTCAGGTGATCTGCCCACCTCAGCCTCCCGAAGTGCTGGGATTACAGGCATGAGCCACTGCGCCTGGCCTAAAAGACACAGTTCTTGATGCCATAATCCCAAATACTGAAATCCCAAAATATCGAAATCCAAACAATATAATTCTGGAAAAAATAATTTTAAAACATTATTTAAAAAATACTTATTTGGGCCAGGTGCGGTGGCTCACTCCTGTAATCCCAGCATGTTGAGAGGCCTAGGTGGGCAGATCACTTGAGCTCAGGAGTTTGAGACCAGCCTGGCCAACATGGCAAAACCCCGTCTCTACTAAAAATATAAAAATTATCTAGGCATGGTTGCAAGTGCCTGTAGTCCCCGCTACTCGGGATGCTGAGGCACGAGAATCACTTGAACATGGGAGGCGGAGGTTGCAGTGAGCTGAGATCATGCCACTGTACTCCAACCTGGGTGACAGAGTGAGATTCTGTCTCAAAAAAAAAAAAAAAAAAAAAAAAAAAAGACACTTGTTTGGCCAGGTACAGAGTCTCACACCTGTAATCTCAGTATTTTGGGAAGCCAAGGTGGGCAGATTGCTTGAGCCCAGGAGTTCAAGATCAGCCTGGGCAACGTGGAGAAACCCTGTCTCTACAAAAAAATACAAAAATTAGCAAGCTAGCGTGCACCTATAGTCCAGCTACTTGGGAGACTGAGGTGGGAGGATCTCTTGGGTCTGGGAGGCAGAGGTTGGAGTGAGCTGTGATGGCGCTGTCTGGGCAACAGAGCAAGACTTTGTCTTCAATAAACAAACAGAAAAACCACTTATTTACCTTTTTTAAAGGGGATTTATTTGAGAAACAAAAACATGACAACACTTCATAGGCCACTTAATATAGTTTGGATATGTGTCCCTGCCCAAATCTCATGTTGAATTGTAATCCCCAATATTGGAAGTGGAGGCTGGTAGGAGGTGATTGGATTATGTGGGTGGATTTTTCATGAATGGTTTAGTACCATCCCCTTGATGCTGTCCTCGAGACGGTGAGCGACTTCTCGCGAGATCTGGCTGTTTTAAAAGTGTGGCACCTCACACTCTCTCTTGCTCAGTCCTCATCATGTGATGTGCCTGTTCCCCCTTTGCCTTCTGCCATGATTGGAAGCTTCCTGAGGCCTTCCTGGAAGCAGGTGCCACTATGCCTCCTGTACAGCCTGCAGAACTGTAAGCCAATTAAATCTCTTTTCTTTTAAGTATTCCTTCATAGCAATGCAGGAACAGCCTAGTACACCACTTTACACAATAAAATAGTAACAAATGTATTTTGCAAGTTTAATCACTCAGTATACTAACCGTAGTTGCATGGGTGTTACATTTTGTAACTGTGGTCCTCTGAAATACCATGATGGACAAACTAGGTCTTTTGATGAGGTAGTAAAAACAAGGATGGGTCATCACTGTGTGTGCAGTCTCCTGAAGAGCAGAGATATTGTTGAATTTTATCTTTCACAAAAACAGTATAAAAAAAGGACATCTCATTGAAGGTTCACCTTTTTTTTTTTTTTTTTTTTTTGAGATGGAGTTTCACTGTTGTTGCTGAGGCTGAAGTGCAATGGTGTGGTCTCGGCTCACTGCAACCTTTGTCTCCTGGGTTCAGGCGATTTTCCTGCCTCAGCCTTCCAAGTAGCTGGGATTACAGGCGCCCCGCCACCACGCCTGGCTAATTTTTGTATTATTAATTTTTGTAGAGACAGGATTTCACCGTATTGGCCAGGCTGGCCTCGAACTCCTGACCTTGGGTGATCTGCCCGCCTTGGCCTCACAAGTGCTGGGATTACAGATGTGAGCCACCGTGCCTGGCCAGTTTCAACTTTTTTTAAAGAGACCATAGTCTTCTAGCTATGTTGCCCATGCTGGAGTGCAGTGACTATTCACAGGCATGATCATAGTGCACTTCAGCCTCAAACTCCTGGCCTCAAGTGATCCTCCTACCTCAGCCTCCCTAGTAGCCGGGACTGACTACAGGTGCTCCACCACACCTGGCTTCTACGTTTTGATGAACACAGCCAGAGCTTACACATGAAGTCAGTGTTGTGATAATGCACTTCTGTGGAGTTCAGTTTGCAAAAAAAAAATGCATAGAATTAATTAGAACTCTCCAAAAGTCTCTACACAATTTATATCTCCAGTATTAGAAATGATGTGAAGATAAAATATATAGCATAGCAAATTGGCACTATGTGTGAAGGAGCAGAAATAATACACCATTGAATAATTTGGCAGGGGAGATTTCTTGTATTTTTTGCCTGTATTTTCACTTCTGCGATCTTCAAAGCACTTGCTCCAGTTTTATTTGCAAAGTGGTTGTGATCCACAAATTTTGTAAGTATATACTGTCTATTTGAAAGCCTGATTATTGCCTGGCCGTTGCAATTTCTGCTTTTGCAGCACCAGTGATAATTAGCTTTTAAACTTTTATCTTTCGCCATTAAGTAGCCGTGTACACTTATCAGAGCCTTTTTGCGAGGGAAGAGTTTCACAGATCTCTTCAATTGTGCTGTAAAGAATAAAGTAAGAAGAACTGATACTCAGCTTCCCCAACACCAAATCTGCATTAGTCAGGGTTCCCTAGGGAGACAGAACCAATAGGATATGTGTATAGATATGAGGGAATTTATTAGGGGAATTGGCTCATATGATTAATGGTGGCTGAGAAGTCCCATGACAGATCATCTGCAGGCTTGAGACCCTGGGATGCCAGTAGCATACCTCAGTCCAAATCCAAAGGCCTCAGAACCAGGGAAGCTAATGGTGTTATCTCTCGGTCCAAGGTCAAAAAGCCTCAGAATTCAGGGGGCCACTGGTTAAGTCCTGGAGTCCAAAGGCTGGCAAGCCTGGAGTTCTGATGTCCAAGGCAGCAGAAGAAAAGTCTGTTCTAGCTCTCAGCAATTCACCTTCTGTGTACTCCCTGGGCTCCTGGCTGATTGGATGATACCCACCAACATAGAGGGCTCTCCTTGCCTACTCAGACTCGCACACTAATCTCTGAAAACATCCTCACAGACACACACACAACACAGTGCTTTACCAGGTTTCTAGGTGTTCCTGTCAAGTTGATAGCTAAAATTAAGTCCACAAATCTATCCTCGGCAACTTGGTACCCATAGGCATCTCCTTAAACCATACTTAATTTCCAGATAATGACAATAGCAAGGTCATAGTTCCACCTAGCATGGTGTAACTATTGTGTACAACCAAAACTATGCAAATTCCCTGCCCCAAAATTCGGCTTTTGGGATTTCATCATTTGGGATTTTAATCTTTTGGGGTTGTGGTTTTAAACATTAGGGATTTTTAGACTTTAGTCTTTTGGGATTTTAACATTCAGGATTATGGCATTTGGGATTATGATTGGTACTGATTGCAGACAGTTTTTGCTAAATCTAGTGTTTAGATATAGCAGCAAAATAATTTCTATGTATATTTAATCACTGATGTAGTAAATCAGTAGTTAATATTTACAGATCCCTTACCCAGTACCAGGCACAGTGCACGTTTTATATTCATTATTTAATTCTCTCAGAATAACCCAATAAAGTCAGTATTTTATCTGTAAAACGGGGATAAAGAAACAGACTGAAGAGAGATTCATTCATTTGGAAGAGGTTCCTCAGCCACCAAGTGATAGAGCCAGGGCTGGCATGCAACTCTATGTGGCTTCAAAACCTGTTTCTCCCTTTTAGTGTAAAATGTATACTTTGTAAAAATGTACACCATGTGGCTGCTGCTTTCTCCCCACACTGACAGGCTTTCCCTGCCCACCTGAGCCCAGGCAGCGCCCACATGAGTACGTGCTCTCTCCCTCAGCCCTGTTCTCCCTTCACAGCAATTATCTGACAGTCTTGTCTTGTATCTGTTTCCTTCACAAAATGTAAGCACCATGGGATGGAAACTTTGCCTACTCCATCCCTGTCTGCATCCATGTTTCCTAGAGTAGTGCCTGACACACAGTAGGAGCCAACATATTTGTTGTAAAGGCTATGAACCAGAAGGTTGTATCAGTCTACAATATTCACTTTTTAAGTCACTTCTGTAGAACAGACTATTAATTTTTTCTTTCTAGTTAGTGATTTTAAGTGAGGAAATTGAAGAGAGGTGTCTTGAAGAGATGCGGAGGAACCAGTCAAGTAGGAGACAGGTCAAGGCTTGTGGAAGTAGAGATTGGTAGTGGTTTAAATGAGCATGGTGCTGGACCTGCCTGAGCTCTTGTAGCTTCGTGAATAGTAACCTTTCTTCCCCAGTCCCTGGTCTAGTGTCTTCCCAACTACTGCCAGAAAATCTTCTGAAAGGTAGCTCTTGTCGTATCCTTTTCATTTGTGTACTGAGTTAAATTTAGACACCTTGCCTTGGTCTTCAGGGTTCCATGGTAGGACCCTGCCCTGCCTCTCTAACCACATCTCCTGGTTTCCCCAGTTGTATCCTCTGCTGCAGCTCGGTGTCCCCAGAGGTGCCTTTATTTCCAGGTCTGGGTCCGTGTCCTCTTTTCTGTTCTCCATCTTATCTTTTTTTTTTTT
This sequence comes from Homo sapiens, assembly GCF_000001405.40. Lineage (NCBI taxonomy): Eukaryota > Metazoa > Chordata > Mammalia > Primates > Hominidae > Homo > Homo sapiens. The sequence continues at coordinate 169,790 of NT_187682.1, read as the reverse complement.
TTTTTTGAGATGGAGTCTCGCTCTATCACCCAGGCTGGAGTGCAGTGGCACCATCTCGGCTCACTGCAAGCTCCGCCTCCCGGGTTCATGCCATTCTCCTGCCTCAGCCTCCTGAGTAGCTGGGATTACAGGCGCCTGCCACCACGCCAAGCAAATTCTTATATTTTTAGTAGAGATGGGATTTCACCATGTTGACCAGGCTGGTCTCTAACTCCTGACCTCAGGTGATCCACCTGCCTCGGCCTCCCAAAGTGCTGGGATCACAGGTATGAGCCACCGCGTGCAGCCTGTTCTCCATCTTTTGAGATAGTTATATTTCAAGGCCTTTCTCAAATGTTACTTTTCTCCATGAAATCTAACATTCCCTTAACTGGATGTTTCCTTCATGACGTTTGTAATTTTCTGGTGCACCTTTAATCTTTGCTTTTTGCTTTTTATTATACCTTTCTTTTTTCCTTTTTTTTTTTTTTTTAATTTTTTGAGACAGAGTCTTGCTCTGTCCCCCAGGCTGGAGTGCAGTGGCGCAATCTCGGCTCACTGCAACCCCTGCTTCCCAGGTTCAAGCAGTTCTCCTGCATCAGCCTCCCAAGTAGCTGGGATTACAGGCACCCGCCACCACGCCTGGCTAATTTTTGTATTTTTGGTAGAGATGGCGTTTCACCATGTTGGCCAGGCTGGTCTCAAACTCCTGACCTCGTGATCTGCCTGCCTCAGCCTCCCAAAATGCTGGGATTACAGGCGTGAGCCACCGTGCCCAGCCTATTATACCTTTCTAAATGTGTTCTTGCCCTCCTTCCCCAGTCCTCCCTGAGGGCAAGATTATGGTATTGGCACTTGCCGTATCCTCTACGGTGCATTGAACACATGAACAAGCAATCATTTTAGAGGTAGAGAAAAACACGTACGAGAAAAAGGCAAACAATGGTATTTAGTTTTGGTGTAGGGAAGACTTGTCCTTTTCCAAGGATTAGTTTTGGTGGTCAGGAAGCTTTTTGAAGCCAGGAGAAACAATGTAGGTAAAGAATTAAGTATATTGAGGCCAGGCCTGGTGACTCATGCCTGTATCCCAGCACTTTGGGAGGCCGAGGCGGATGGGTCACTTGAGGTGAGGTAAAGAGTTTAAGACCAGCCTGGCCAACATGGCGAAACCCTGTCTCTACCAAAAATACGAAAGTTAGCTGGGCGTGGTGGCATGCGCCTGTAACGCCAGCTACACGGAGGCTGAGGTAAGAGAATCACTTGAACCTGGTAGGTGGAGGTTGCAGTGAGCCAAGATCACACCAGTGCACTCCAGCCTGGGTGACAGAGTGAGACTCCATCTCAGAAAAAAAAGAAAAAAGAAAAAGAATTAAGCAAATTGGGTCTAGTATTTTAGAGTAGAAGAAAAGAAACCAAATGGGGAAACGACTGAGAAGCACCATTTTTCAGAGTTTGGGGATGAGTCCTAGTACTTGTCCTCAGGGTGTTCAACAGTATTGTGTGGGAAACAGACAACTAGATCATTGATAATACGTTGTAAAAATTTGACCATAGAGCTGGCTGTGGTGGCTCATGCCTGTAATTCCATCTATTCAGGGGCTGAGGTGGGAGGATTGCTTGAGGCGAGGAGTTGGAGACCAGTCTGGGCAACGTAGTGAGACCTTCTCTCCAAAAAATACATAAATAAAATTTAAAAATAAAATTGGCCATAGAGAGGGAAAGGCGCTAGAAAACATTGGTTAATTCTACCAAAGCTTAGTAAGAGCTAGTGATCTTAGCAAAATTGAGGTCCTGAGCAGGTGGGCAGAAAGGTTGACATCGCGCTGGAGGAAGCTGTCTTAGGGTGAATACATGAATTGTCTTGACCCCCTTAAAAGGGCATTGCAGAAGGTATCACAATATTTTAGGAAGATGATGGTGAAAGGTTAGTTTTTAGTACTAGGACTCAGTTCTTAAGGGAGAAGTAGGTCAGTGTTCAAAGAAACAATATTTAATTTAGTGTTAGAAACCTCCCAGATAGCATCTTGTTCTTCCACGTTTCATGTTTTTGCAGGGCCGAGATGAGTAGCCATGGGAATGAGACAGGAGTAAAGGAGGCTGGACACAGTAGTTGACGCCTACAATGGGATGCTAGGTGGGAGGATCACTTGAACCCAGGTGTTGGAGACCAGCCTGGGCAGCATAGTGAGACCTCGTCTCTACAAAATTAAAAATAGCCGGGCATAGTGGTGCATGCCTGTAGTCCCAGCTACAAAGAGAAAAAAAGGAGTAAGGGAGATAACTAAAGGGGAAGACTATGTAATGAATTACTTGCTCTTGCATGTCCTAGGTTCTTCTCAGTTACACCTTTTTAGAGATTTTTTTTCTTTTTCTTTTTCTCTTCTGAGACAGGATCCGGCTCTGTTGCCCAGGCTGGAGTGCAGTGGCATGATCACGGCTCACTGCAATCTCCGCCTCCCAGGCTGAAGCAAATCTTGTGCCTCAACCACCCCAGTAGCTAGGATTACAGGTGCGCACCACCATGCCCAGCTGATTTTGGTATTTTTTTTTGTAGAGATGGGGTTTCGCCATGTTGTCCAGGCTGGTCTTGAACTCCTGAACTCAAGTGATCCTCCTGCCTCAGCCTCCCAAAGTGTTGGGATTACAGGTGTGAGCCACTGCGCCCAGCCAGATTTTTTTAAATTGATATGAAATTCACGTGACAAAATTAATCATTTTTAAGCGAACACTCGAGTGGCGTTTGCTGCATTCACAATGTGTGCACCCATAACAACCTGTATCTAGTCCCAAAGTAAACCTGCTACCCATTAAGCAGTTACTCCCCTTGCCCTCTTCTGCCAGTCCTTTGCAACCACCGATCTGCTTTCTGTTTTTAGATTTACTTCTTTTGGATATTTCATTAGATGGAATCGTACAATATGTGACCTTTCATGTCTGACTTCTTTCACTTAGCGCGTAGTGTTTTGAGATTTATCTACATTGTATTGTGTATGAGTACTTCATTCCTTTTCATGGCTGAATACATACTCAGTTTTATGTATATACCACAATCTGTTCATCCGTTCATCTGTTGATGGACATTTCGGTTGTTTCCACCTTTTGGCTATTTTGAATAGTGCTGCTATGAACATGTGTGTATATCTATTTGTTTGGATACCTGTTTTCACTTATTTTGAGTATATACCTAGGAATGGAGTTGCTGGATCGTGTAATTCTGTATTCAACTTTTTGAAGAACCACCAGACTTTTTCACAGTGGCTGAATATTTTATATTCCCATGTGTGGCCCAGGCTGGAGGGCAGTGGCATGATCGTGGATCACTACAGGCTTCACTCACTGGGCTCGAGTGATTCTCTTGCTTCAGCCTCCCAAATAGCTGGGATTACAGGTATGTGCCACCATACCTGTCTAATTTTTGTATTTTTATAGACAGGGTCTCACCATGGTTGGCCAGGCTGGTCTCCTAACTCCTGGCTTCAAGTGATCCAGTGTGCCTGGCCCCCACCAGCAATATGTGAGGGTTCCAGTCTCTCCACATCATCACCAACACTTGTAATTTTTTGTTTTCTTTCCTATAGCCATACCTATGGGTATGAAGTGCTGTGTCATTGTGGTTCATTTTTCCTGATACATTAACTTTTTAAGAGAAATGTTAGTAGACTTTATTGCTTAGAGCAGTTTTAGGTTTACAGAAAAAATGAGCAATAAGAGAGTTCCTGTTTACCCTCCCTCAATCCAACCATAGGTTCCACTATTACTAATATCTCATATTAGTGTGGTGCATTTGCTACACTTGATATACAGTATTGATATTTTATTATTAACTCAAGTCCAGTTCATATTTGACCTTTTTTTGTTTGTTTTTGAGAGGGAGTCTTGCTCTGTTGCCCAGGCTGGAGTGCAGTGGTGTGATCTCAGCTCACTGCAACCTCCACCTCCAGGGTTCAAGCGATTCTCCTGCCTCAGCCTTCTGAGTAGCTGGGATTACAGGCACCCACCACCATGCCTGCTAATTTTTATATTTTTAGTAGAGACAGGGTTTCACCGTGTTGGCCAGGCTGGTCTCAAATTTCTGACGTCAAGTGATCAGTCCACCTCAGCCTCCCAAAGTGCTGGGATTACAGGCGTGAGCCATCATGCCTGACTTTTTTTTTTTTTTTTTTTTTTTTTTTTTGAGACAGTGTCTTGCTCTGCCAGCCAGTGCAGTGGTACAATCATAGCTCGCAGTAACCTTGAGCTGCTGGATTCAGGTGAGATTACAGGTGCTAGCCACAGCAACTGACTTGAGTTCATTCTTTGTTGTATATTCTGTGGGTTTGGACAAATGCATAATGTCTTACATCTGCTAATACAGTATTATACAGAATTGTTTCACTATCCCAGGAGTCACCTGTACTCTCTCCGTATTCATCCTTCCCCCTCTTCCCTTGGATCCTTGGTAATCATTGATCTTCCTACTGACTTTACAGTTTGGTGTTTTCCAGAATATTATATAGCTAAAGTCATGTAGCCACTTCAGATTCATGTCTTTCACTTAGCAATAATCATTTAAGGTTCCTGCATGTCTTTTTTCTTTTTTTGAGACAGAGTCTTGCTCTGTCACCCAAGCTGAAGTGCAGTGGTGCGATCTCCACTCACTGCAACCTCTGCCTCCTGGGTTCAAGTGATTCTCCTGCCTCAGTCTCCCGTGTAGCTGGGATTACAGGTGCCCACCACCACCCTTGGCCAAGTTTTGTATTTTTAGTAGAGATGGGGTTTCACCATGTTGGCCAGGCTGGTCTTGAACTCCTGACCTCAGGTGATCCGCGTGCCTCAGCCTCCCAAAGTGCTGGGATTATAGGTGTGAGCCACCTCGCCTGGCCGGGTAGAGAGATCTTCACAGTTGAAAATACCTCTTCTAAATCCTTGACTTTGAGCTCCTCACGTGCTGAGAGTGTTGTAAGTTCGTCTATATAGTATACCCTATGATAACCCCTAATATGACCACAATAGATATTTAATTGTGGTGGTACTATACTTACAGAACAGGTTCATGTTATTTTTGGAAGACATTCTAGATAATAGAGACCATCTGTTTTGTATTCACCAAGATTCTTGATTCTTTGGTGATATCTCTTATTTGTTCTGGAAAATTCCCAATACTTCTCCTCACTTACTGCCTTGCCTCCATTCCCTTCTCATTCTAAGAGTCCACCCATACAGGGATACATTCAACCTTGTAGTCACCCTTTCTTTTCTGTTTTTTTTTTTTTTTTTTTTTTTTTGAGGCGAAGTCTCGCTCTGTCGCCCAGGCTGGAGTGCGGTGGTGCGATTTCGGCTCACTGCAACCTCCGCCTCCTGGGTTCAAGTGATTCTTCTGCCTCGGCCTCCCGAGTAGCTGGGACTTACAGGCACTTATTACCACGCCTGGCTAATTTTTTGTATTTTTAGTAGACACGGGGTTTCACTGTGTTAGCCAGGATGGTCTCGATCTCCTGACTTCCTGATCTGCCCGCCTAAGCCTCCTAAAGTGCTGGGATTAAATGGCATCCATTACAAGTGTTTTTTTTCTTTTCTATTTTTCATTCTGGGTAGATTACTTTGACCTGTTTTCAGTTAATCAGTCTTCTCTTTGACTAATCTGCGTTTTTTTGAGACAAGAGTCTCACTCTTTCGCCCAGGCTGGGGTGCAGTGCAGTGGCACGATCTTGGCTCTCACTGCACCCTCTGCCTCCTGGGTTCAAGCAGTTCTTGTGCCTTAACCTCTCGAGTAGCTGGGACCACAGGTGTGTGCCCCTACACCTGGCCAATTTTTGTACTTTTAGTAGAGATGGAGTTTCACCATGATGGCCAAGCTGGTCTTCAACTCCTGGCCTCAAGTGAGCCACCTGCCCCAGCCTCCCAAAGTGCTGGAATTACAAGTATGAGCCACCGCGCCAGCCGATTAATCTGCTTTTAATTTAATAACTCAATGGATAGTTCTTACCAATATCTTACTGTATTTTTCAGTTGTGATTCTTTTCAAGTCTGCTACATTGTTTTTTATGGATTCCTGTTCCCTGCTAAATTTTTCAAACTTCGCTTTTATTTCCTAGAACATACTAAATATAATTCTTTTATAGTCTCCTGATATCTCCAGTATTTGGAGTTCCTTTGGATCTATAACTGCCTCTCATGGTTCTTACTCATGGTACTTTGTTCATATGTTTGTGTGCTGGACATGGTATTTGAAAAATTGTTTATAGAAATAATTAGAGGCTTTGGGTGTGATGTCTTTTTCCAGGTGACTGACGGCACTAGCCAACGAGGATCATTTTAATACAAGTTGAAGCCCAGGCGCGCTGGCTAAGGCCTGTAATCCCAGAGCACTTTGGGAGACTGAGGCAGGCAGATCAGCTGAGGTCAGGAGTTCGAGACCAGCCTGGCCAACATGGTGAAACCCCCTCCTTACTAAAAATACAGAAATTAGCCGGGCGTGATGGCGGGTGCTTGTAATCCCAGCTACTTGGGAGGCTGAGGCAGGAGAGTCGTATGAACCCGGGAGGCGGAGGTCGCAGTGAACTGAGATGGCGCCACTGCACTCCAGCCTGGGGGGGACAGAGCAAGACTCTGTCTCAGAAAAAAAAAAAAGTTGAAGATTTGAGTTTTTTATGGACTATCCAGATGGTTTGAAGCTGAGTCCATGGGAGGGCTTATTTACTTCTACTTCAGTCTTACTCCTAGGATGCAGCCCTATGGGGCCTCAGTTCACAGGTTCGCTGGGGTGAGGAGCGCGTTACTGAGTTATGAGTTATAAGTTATCTCCTATGCAAGGCCTTGGAGTGAGCCAGGCACTTTCTGGGCCTCCACTGGCAAATCAACAAATGCCCCCAGGTCTTGCCTCTTTCTTTGGATTTCCATCTTTTTCAGGATATTAATTTGGTAATATCTCACTATCTTGTTAGATTTTTGTTACTTTTGGAAAGATGTATATATATTGTATCCAGTTTTTTGTGCAGTTATTTAGTCTGTATTACTGTAAACAGAAAACAAGGTCTTATTTTCATGGACTCATGTTATTCTAACATTAACCTTGAAACAAGTGACCATATGGTGAGTGATACTATTATACTGTATTATTGTTTATGTCTCTGTGTGACACTGTTAAGATGCCTGAATTGTTTGGGTAAACCAGGTGGTATTGGTTGGTGGGTGCTTTAAGACTCACTATCTAGAGCATGATCTCTGCAGCCAGTCGCCTGATTTTTGAATCCCAGCTCTGCCCCTTGTTTGCAATGTGACGTCAAGCAAATGACTATTCTGCCTCTGTTTCGTTGTCTAGAAAATGGAAATAATAATTGTACCTACCTCGTGGGTGGCTGTGCCAGTTAAATTAGTTCATAACTAAAGCTTTTAGAACATTGCCAGACTTACAGTAATGATTAGATAAATTTTAGCTATTATTATTACCACCTAGAAGCTTTGGAAATACAGGGATACCTCATTTTATTGCATTCTACTTTATTGTACTTCACAGATATTGTGGGATTTTTTTGTTTTATAAATTGAAGGTTTATTGCAACCCTGCATTGAGCAAGTCTAAGTCTGTTGGTGCCAATTTTTCAACAGCATGTGCTCACTTTGTGTCTTTGTGCCACATTTTGGTAATTCTCCCAATATTTTAAACATTTTATTCATTTTATTTTATTTATTTTTGAGTCGGAGTCTCGCTCTGTCTCCCAGAGCTGCACTGGAGTGAAGTGGCGCCATCTCGGCTCACTACAACCTCCACCTCCTGGGTTCTAGCGATTCTCCCCCTCAGCCTCGTGAGTAGCTGGGATTACAGGTGTGCACCACCATGCCCGGCTAATATTTTTATTTTTAGTAGAGGTGGGGTTTCACTGTGTTGGCCAGACTGGTCTGGAACTCCTAACCTGAAGTGATCTGCCTGCCTCAGCCTCCCAAAGTGCTGGGATTACAGGCATGAGCCACCACACCTGGCCTGAATATTTTAAACTTTTTTTTTTTTTCTGAGAGAGATTTTCACTCTTGTTCCCCAGGCTGGAGTGCAATGGCGTGATTTTGGCTCACTGCAATCTCCGCCTCCGGGGTTCAAGTGATTCTCCTGCCTTAGCCTCCCGAGTAGCTGGGATTACAGGCATGCGCCATCACGCCCTGCTAATTTTGTATTTTTAGTAGAGACGGGGTTTCTCCGTATTGGCTAGGCTGGTCTCGAACTCCTGTTCTCAGATGATCCACCCGCTTCGGCCTCCCAAAGTGCTGGGATTACAGGCATGAGCCACCGCGCCCAGCCTTAAACTTTTAAAATTGTTATCTGTCATGAAGATCTGTGATCAGTGATCATCGATGTTACTTTTTTTTTTCTTTTTTGAGATGGAGTCTCGCTCTGTCGCCCAGGCTGGAGTGCAGTGGTGCGATTTCGGCTCACTGCAAGCTCTGCCTGCCGCGTTCACGCCATTCTCCTGCGTCAGCCTCCCGAGTAGCTGGGACTACAGGTGCCCGCCATCACACCTGGCTAATTTTTTTGTATTTTTAGTAGAGACAGGGTTTCACCGTGTTAGCCAGGTTGGTCTCAATCTCCTGACCTCATGATCCACCCACCTCGGCCTCCCAAAGTGCTGGGATTACAGGCGTGAGCCACCGCGCCCGGCCTGATGTTACTTTTGTAATTGTTTTGGAGCGCCACAAAGCACTCCCATATAAGACGGCGAACTTAATATATACATGTTGTGTATAGATGTGTGTTCAGACTGCTGCCAACTGGGTGTCCCCCCATCTCACCACCTCCTCAGGTCTCTCTGTTACCTCAGACACAACAGTATTGAAGTTAGGTCAGTTAATAACCTGATCATGACCATTAAATGTTCAAGTGACAGGAAGAATTGCACATCTCTCACTTTTAAATCAGAAGCTAGAAATGATGGTTTAGTGAGGAAGGCATGTCAAAAGCCAAGATAGGCTGAATACTAGGCCTATTGCACCAAACGTGGCCAAGTTATGAATGCAAGAAAAGGTTCTTGAAGAAAGTTAAAAGTACAACTCCAGTGAACACATGAATGAGAAGAAAACGAAACAGCTTATTGCTGATATGGAAAAGTTTTAGTGACTCAGATGGAAAATCAACCAGCCGCAACATTCCCTTAAGCCAGAGCCTAATCCCAGAGCAAGACTTTCTCTTTTCACTTCTGTGAAGGCTGAAAAAAGTAAGAAGCTGCAGAAGTGAAGTTTGAAGCTAGCACAGATTGGTTCCTAAAGTTCTTGAAACCATCTCTGTAACATTAAAATGCAAGTTGAAGCAAGTGCTAATGTAGAAGCTGCAGCAAGTTATCTAGAAGATGTAGCCAAGATCACTGATGAAGGTGGCTATATTGAACAGATATTCAGTGTAGCCTTATGTCAGAAAAGATGCCATCTAGGACTTCCATAATTAGGAGAAGTCAGTGCCTGGCTTCAAAAGACAGGCTGACTGTTATTAGGAGCTGGTGTAGCTGGTGAATTTAGGTTGATGCCAGTGCTCATTTACCATTCTAATAATTCTAGGGCCCATAAATTTATGCTAAATCTACTCTGCCTGTGCTCTGTCAGTGGATCAACAAAACCTAGATGACAGCACATCTGTTTACAGAATGGTTTAATGAATATTTTAAGGCCACTGTTGAGACCTACTACTCAAAAGATTTCTTTCAGAATATTACTTCTTGACAGTATACCTGGTCACCTAAGAGCTCTGATGGAAATGTATAAGGAGATAAATGTTGTTTTCATGCTTGCTAACACAACATCTATTCTGCAGCCCCTGGATCAAGGAATCATTTTGATTTTCAAGTCTTATTTAAGAAATATGTTTCATAAGGCTCTAGCTGCTATACATAATAATTCCTCTAGTGGGTCTGGGCAGAGTGAATTGAAAACCTTTCGGAAAGGATTTACCATTCTAAATGCCATTAAGAACATTTGTGATTCATGGGAGGAGGTCAGTACATGAACAGGAGTTTGGAAGATGATTCCAGCCCTCATGGATGACTTTGAGGGGTTCAGGACTTCAGTGGAGGCAGGAACTGCAGATGTGGTAGAAATAGCAAGAGAACTCGAATTAAAAGTGGAGCCTGGAGATGTGACTGGATTGCTGTAATCTCATGATAAAACTTGAACAGATGAGGAGTTGCTGCTTATGGATGAGCAAAGAAAGTGATTTATTGAGATGGAATCTACTCCTGATGAAGATGCTGTGAACATTGTTGAAATGCCAATGAAAGATTTAGAATATTACATAAACGTAGTTGATTAAGCAGTGGCGGGGTTGAAGAGAACTGACTGCAGTTTTGAAAGAAGTTCCACTGTGGGTAAAATGCTATCAAACAGTTTGGCATGCTATAGAAAAATCTCTTAGAAAAGGAAGAGCCAGTCGATGCGTCAGACTTCATGGGTGTGTTATTTGAAGAAATTTGCCACAGCCACCTCAGCCTTCAGCAACCACCACCCTAATTAGTCAGCAGCCATCAACATGGAGGCAAGACCCTCCGTCAGCAAAAAGATTAGGACTCCCTGAAGGCTCAGATGATTGTTAGCATTTTTTAACGATAAAGTATTTTTTAAATTAAGGTATGAACATTGTCTTTTAGACATAATACCATTTCACACTTAGTAGACTGAAGTATAGCGTACACATATAAAAGTTAATATGTGCTGGAAAACCAGAAAATTTGTGTGACTCGCTTTATTGCCACGGTCTGGAACCAGACCCACAATACCTGCAATGTTATGCTTGTGGCTGATTTTTCATAGAATGTTTGTGTCTCTTTGACTTTTTTATTTTCAAAATTTAGGATTGCAGGTGACTCTCCATTGGCTTATTTCAGAATGACTGGGGTTAGGGTGTTTGCTAATTGCATGCCAGTGGTCAGGGAAGAAGGGAAAACTCTTGCACTTTAGAGGCCATCTGCCTCCAAGTAGAGCTCCAACTGTCAGGCCACTGTCCCTCTGTGGGGAGGGTGGGGATTGGTCCTGTGGCTTGTAGTTCTTGCCATATAGATTAAGAATGCGCTCCGTCGGCATTCTTCATTGTGAATTAGAGGATTGATGAGGATTTAACCCTGCTGTGATTTCTATGAATGGACTGTAGATCCCAGGGTGTGGGATCTTTCCTAACTCGAGAATGACAAAAATTACCTGTCACAGAGTGCTGTTACACCAATCAGTAGTTATTTATTGTGTTTTTTAGGGTTTATTTTGTTTGTTTGATAACCTCTTTTCCATTTTTTTCCTTGTTGTCTTTTACTTGTTTTTTTGTTTTTGTTTTTGTTTGTTTTTTTGAAGTGGAATCTCACTGTCACCCAGGCTGGAGTGTGCAGTGGTGAGATCTCGGCTCACTGCAACCTCTGCTTCCTGGGTGTACAAGCAAGTGATTCTCGGATTACAGGTGCCTGCCACCATGCCCAGCTAATTTTTGTATTTTTGGTAGAGACAGGGTTTCACCATGTTGGCCAGGCTGATCTTGAACTCCTGACCTCAAGTGATCTGCCTGCCTCGGCCTCCCAAAGTGCTGGGATTATAGGCGTGAGCCACCATGTCTGGTGTCTTTTACTTATTTTATTATTGGTTCAAGTTTTTACCTGAGAGAGGGAAAGAGGGTGGTAATTCTAACAGTGATAATTTTGATTTATATGGTACTTAGCTGTTTGCAGACTTACTGTGGGACATTCCCGTGTGGTGGCAAGGTAGGTTAACTCCACTTTTGCAGGTGAAGAATGTGAGACATATGGGTTAAATAACTTGCCCAAGTCACAGAACAAGTGGCAAGACTAGGAAGTATTTAGATTTCTTAATTCTAAATGTAGTACTTTTTCCAACAGATGACCCAGAAGAATCAATAGAAAACAAATTTAATAGTGGAAGCAATTGTATGTACAAATAAAATTGTATTTTTTGTTCACTTCGCTTACTAAAATAAAATCCTATTTCTAGATGATTTTCTAAACATGTTTTTCTTGGTCTCTTTGTTCAAGTCATTTAGTTTGACTCTAGGTAAGATAGTACTACTCAATGTTCTTTCTGTCACTTCAGGAGAGAGATGGTGTGCACCAGTTGATACCCAATGTTCCCTTGTTCTTCTCCCTGATATTACATCAGAGAAGTCCCCAGTTGAGAAGGGAGGAGGAAAGTTTTATGGTTACTGTTCCTCAAATCTCTTGGGAAAGACAGCAAACTGCTGTCAGGAGTAGTTTTCTTTTGTCTCAGTGTCTGTTACATTTATACATGGCACCCTCCTTATCATAGTTATGGCTTGCACCCTAAAATAAGGTCTAGAGCGACAGACATTTACAAAGTTCTTTTTTTTTTTTTTTTTGAGACAGAGTCTCATTCTGTTGGCCAGACTGGAGTGCAGTGGCACGATCTCGGCTCACTGCAACTTCTGTCTCCTGGGCTCAAGCAATTCTCCTGCCTCAGCCTCCCGAGTATGTGGGACTACAGGCATGCGCCACTATGCCTGGCTAATTCTTGTATTTTTTTTAGTAGAGGTGGGGTTTCACCATGTTGGCCAGGCTTGTCTTGAACTCCTGACCTCGTGATCCGCCTGCCCTGCCCTCCAAAAGTTCTGGGATTTACAGGCGTGAGCCACTGCACCCGGCACAAAGTTCTTATGCTACCGAAATGATCTTTTTGTTCTTCTGACCCTAATTATTAGGTTTTCTGACCCTAAATTAATTTGCTAATTCTTGATGCTCTTCTTGGATACTTAGATGTAACTATTTCACCTTAGTTTGGAGTTAGCATTTTGATGTTTTTAATATATTTGAAATAATCCTGCAAACTATTTTTTGGTTTGGGCTTTTAAGTGGGACGCTCAATCTTCAGAAGGACTTTTAGCTTATGGACACTTAAAAAAAGCAAGAACTAGCACATTGTTTCTTGGTATTTTGGAATTGTGGTGAGTTTGAGGCAACCGTGGAAGTGTAGAGTGTGTTGACTCACCTCCGCTCCTCCTAACTCCTGTGTTCATTTCACAGGAATTAATCGTCCAGACAATATTCCTCCCATGCCTGCATCCCCAGCCATATGGAGAGGACCCCATAAACTGTAAAAAGGTTCATTGGCTTTTATCTGGAGGGGACTAAACCCATAGAACTCGGTTCTGCTTTTTGCTTCATTTGACAGGTTGACCTATGGTGTTGGTACGTCCAGTAAAATCAAGTCTAAATGCTTTGGTTGACTGCATTTCTCATTGCTTTGCTCAGGAAGGCCAAGGACACATTAAAATCTGTTTGTCCCCTCCTATATTTTCTTTCTAAGGTTGTTAGCCAGCACTTTTGTTTTACAGTGTGTTTTTGTTTGGACTCGACTTCTGCTCGTAAATTAGGATGTGGTCAGTTAAGAGCATTTTGAATTTTAAACGTGTCTGTTTCACTGGTTTTGTGTCTCCATGTTTATGTATAGGGAAAGTAAGTTTTCATGTTTTTACATTTTGTTTGTACTAAACTTAAGTGCTTTCTTTCAAGGGCTAGAGGCATTGAAAGTAATTTTAAAAACTCTAAAGAAACCTTTTTATTCTCATTGCTTACATTTTTAATAACAAGTTAGGTAGCTTTTATTCTTCAGAAGTGGGATTTATTATGTAAAGCCACTTTTTGGAAGAGGTGAAAATTAACCTGCCTTTCCTTATGCCTCAGTGAGAGGTGAGGTTCAGAGCAGAGAATGCAGGTAGGGATTATGGAAACCCTTTCTTGGTATTAATTTTCCTCACAGATTAAAACTTTTGGTCTTCATCTGTTACCTTTACATTTGTCAGAAAGAGAATTTATATTGTCAACTTAATTCACCCAGTGTTCGATTGCTTGCTCTGTGCGTGGCAGTAAGAGAACTAAGGTCCCACGCTGTGGGGGAAATAGAAGGGTAGATAACTCTGGTAATGCTTATCATGGCTTGTGTTCTAGGAAGGTGTTAAGGGAAAAGTGCGATTTGCACTGGACTTGAAAGGTGAGTGGTATGTCAGCAAAGCTGGTATTATTCACGCAGAAGGACCAGGCTGAACAAACGAAAAGGTGCAGAAGGTGCCTGCTGGGTGTGCTGGGAATACACAGAACATTGCTAAGAACAGTAGAAGTTAGGGCACATTCCTTGTTAGTCCCAGCCTGTCTTCCTTACTGACTGGCTGTATAACCTTATGAGAGTTACTAAACTTTCTGAGCCTTTGTTTCCTCATCTGCAGAATGGCTAGTTACTGCATAATAGAGTTAAGATTAAATGAGACTATAATATATTGCATTGCAGCTGGGTGTGATGGCTCACACCTGTAATCCTAGCACTTTGGGAGGCCGAGGCAGGTGGATGACTTCAGGTCAGGAGTCCGAGACCAGTCTGGCCAACATGGTTAAAACCTCGCCTCTACTAAAAATACAAAAATTAGCCGGGTATTGTGGCACAAGCCTGTAATCTCAGCTACTTGGGAGACTGAGGCAGGAGAATTGCTTGAACCAGGGAGGCAGAGGTTGCACTGAGCCGAGATTGCACCAGTGCACTCCAGCCTGGACGACAGAGGGAGACTCTGTCTCAAAACAAACAAAAAATATTGCATTGCACATAATTTAAACACTCAATAAAAGTAGTTGCAATTATTGTTTTCTTTTAAATTTTATTTGTTTTAAAATTAGCATGTTGGTCAAACTAGTTTTTTTTTTTTTTTTTCTTTTTGGAGACGGAGTCTTGCTCTGTTGCCCAGGCTGGAGCGCAGTGGCACGATCTAGGCTCACTGCAAGCTCCGCCTCCCGGGTTGCTGGGACCACAGGTGCCCGCCACCACGCCGTGCTAATTTTTTTGTATTTTTTTTAGTAGAGATGGGGTTTCACCGTGTTAGACAGGATGGTCTCGATCTCCTGACCTCGTGATCCGCCCGCCTCGACCTCCCAAAGTGCTGGGATTACGGGCGTGAGCCACTGCGCCCGGCCGATCGAACTAGTTGCTGAAAGATGACTATGCCCTGTAATCCCACCCCCAAAACATCTGTTGTCAGCAGTTGAATGAATATCAGTCGTCTTTCTAATTTTCATCTCTGGCACCTTTGGTGCTGGTGGTACGTTGTTTTTTTTTTGTTTTGGTACAATCATGCCTCAGTTAACAACAGAATATTTCTAAGAAGTGCATCATTGAGTGATTTTTGTCGTTGTTCTAACATCTTAGGATGTACTTACACACACCTAGCCTGGGTGTAGCCGACTGCCCATCTAGGCTATGTGGTATAGCCTATTGCTCCTAGGATACAAACCTGTACCGCATGTTACTGTACTGAATGCTGTAGGAGATTGTAAAAGAGTGGTAAGTATGTATCTGCATATGTCTAAACATAGAGAAGGTACAGTAAAAATAAGGTATAAAAGATAAGGAAGTTGTTCTGGGTGAGTCAGTGAGTGAATGGTGAATGAAGGTAAAGGCCCAGGACGTTACTGCACACTACTGTAGATGTATAAACACTGTACATTTGGACTACACTAAATTTATTTTTTAAAGTTTTCTTGTTTTGATATTATTAACCTTAGATTACTGTAACTTTTTTTTTTTTTTTTTTGAGACGGAGTCTCTCTCTGTCGCCCAGGCTGGAGTGCGGTGGCTTGATCTTGGCTCACTGCAAGCTCCGCCTCCCGGGTTCACGTCATTCTTCTGCCTCAGCCTCTCGAGTAGCTGGGACTACAGGTGCCCGCCACCACACCTGGCTAATTTTTTGTATTTTTAGTAGAGACGGGGTTTCACCGTATTAGCCAGGATGGTCTTGATCTGCTGACCTTGTGATCCACCCGCCTGGGCCTCTCAAAATGCTGGGATTACAGGCATGAGCCACCAGTCCCTGGCCAGATTACTGTAACTTTTTTACTTTAAAAACTTTAAAAATTTGTAACCTTTTGACTCTTGTAATAACACTTAGCTTAAACCACAAATACATTGTGCAGCTGTTCAAAAATATTTTCTGTCATTGTGTTATTCTATAAACTTTTTTATGATTATTATTAATTACTCTTAGAGATAAGGTCTTACTCTGTTCCAGGCTGGAGTGCAGTGGCACAGTCATAGCTCCCTGTAACCTCAAACTCCTGGGCTCAAGCAACCCTCACTTAAGCCTCCTGAGTAGCTAGGACTACAGGTGCATACCACCGTGCTTGGCTACGTTTTTTTAGTTTTTATAGAGCTGGAGTCATGCTATGTTGCCCAGGCTGGTCTCAAACTCCTGGCATCAAGCAATCCTTTCTCCTCTGCCTCCCAAAAGTTCTGGAATTGTAGGTGTGAGCCACCAGGCCTAGCCACTTTATAAGCTTTTTTTTCTATTTATTATCATTATTTGAGACAGAGTCTTGCTGTGTCGCCCAGGTTGGAGTGGAATGGTGCAGTCTCAGCTCACTGCAGCCTCCATGTCGCGAGTTCAAGCGATTCTCCTGCCTTAGCCTCCCAAGTAGTTGGTACTACAGGCACACGCCATTACACCTGGCTAATTTTTGTGTTTTTTTTAGTAGAGACGGGGTTTCACCGTGTTGGCCAGGCTGGTCTGGAATTCCAGACCCCATGTGATCCACCCACCTTGGCCTTCCAAAGTACTGGGATTACAGACGTGAGCCACCTCACCGAGCCATATTTAAATATTTTTTATTTTTTATTTTTTCACTTTTTAAACACTTTTGTTAAAAACTAAGACACAAACACATGCATTAGCCTAAACCTACACAGGGTCAGAATAATCAATATCACTGTCTTCCAGCTTCACATCTTGGCCCACTGGAAGGTCTTTAGGGTCAGTAACACACATGGAGCTATCATCTCCTATGATAACAGTGTCTTTTGTTTGTTTGCTTTGGTTTTTTTTTTGAGACAGTCTCTCTCTGTCGCCCAGACTGGAGTGCAGTGGCATGATCTCGGCTCACTGCAACCTCCACCTCCCAGGTTCAAGCGATTCTCTGCCTCAGCCTCCTGAGTAGCTAGGACTTATAGGCACATGCTCCCACACCCAGCTTTAGTTAACTATTTTTATAAGTAGAATACATAGTATACATAACATAGAATTCTACATAGGATATGTAAACCAGTAACATAGTTTATTTTCAAGTATTATGTACTGTACATAGTTGTATGTGCTATGCTTTTATACCACTGGCAGTATATTAGGTTTACACTTGCATGACCATAAACAAGGAGGTAATATGTTGCATTATGACAGCTACAGCATCACCAGGCAATAGGAGTTTTTCAGCTCCATTGTACTCTGATGGGACCACCATTGTGTACGTGGTCATTGTTGACAGAAATGTGTTATGTAGCACGTGACTATTTTTATTGCTGTTGCTTCAACTTTAAGGTGTTTGGGAGGCAGGGAAGGGAAAGCTGTGTGGTACACCTGGAAGACAAGTCTGCATGTGCTGTACTAATAATTGGGAGCCAGTGAAGGTTTTAAAATAGGGGGTGAATTAATCAGATCTTTTTCAGTAAGATGCTGAAATGCAAGCTGGATTGGAGGGAAGTCTAGTAGCAGAGCAACAAGTGTTTGCTTGGCTGCTGTTTGAGGACCTTGTAGATGTGAGACATGTTTGTTACATGCCTTCAACAATACATGGCTCAGCTGGGGAGATAAGGCATTCATACCAAGTGGGGAAATAAGGACACAGCCACCAGGTAATGGTGTATGGACAAGAAGTGCTGTAGCTGTTTGGGGAAGGCAAGATCACCAAGCTGAGCCGTTTTCCTGAAGCCTTCAGTGAGGAAGCCAAATGGCCTTGAGGAATGACTCAGATTTGGAAAGTGTTTTGGGGAGAGGCCAAGCACAAATCAAGAGGTCGGAGCGCATGGTCTGTGTGGAGTGGTGGGTTTGGCCAATAGTGAGCAGTATGGTTGGAAAGGAAAATTGCCGTGGCCTTCAACAAACCTGTTGTTACGCACCCTATCTTCTGACCCTCTCTCTTCACTGTACTGTACCTGCGTTACTCTCTTGCAGTTTGAGGCTTTTCAGGATAGAACAGTGTCCTAGTTATTTTCCCAGGTCTAGTAAACAGCCCAGCACATAGTAGATGCTTAAAAACAACAATAAAAGAATGATTGGATATTTGCTGTTTATGGAAGTTACAGACTGGATATCCTGCCGTTCCCTTAAACTTAGATCTCAAATAAAATCCTAATATCACCTCTCTCCTTCCCTTTTTTATTCTGTGCTAAGTTTAAACAGGTTAGGTGCCCCTCTGCTCCCACAGCTGTGTGCTTACCTTGCCATTCCATAATTATGGACATCTCTGCTGTGATCATACTGCATGACTCTCACCAGCACGTTGGATGTCCAACATGTCACATTTGCTTGGGACCCCCCCACTGCCTTTCCTCCTTCCTACTTCTTCACTCTCCTTTTCTGGCTTCTTTTCCTCTTCTCCACCTTCTAAATGATAGAGTGATTGCAGGGATCAGTCACTCCAAGTTAGCCTCTAGACCAGTGGTTTTAAATCTTTTTGTTCAGCCATACCAAATGCCGGACAAGTACAAACACACTACACCGTCTTGTGCACACAGACACAACAGAAACAAAAGTTTCACAAAACGGTTCTTATACTTCATGAGCCGTGGACTCTGTTATTTTCCATTCTGCTCTATTTCATTTTTTTTTAAGTGCTGTTCATGACCCACTAAATTGATTTCACAGCCTGCAGTTTGAAAAACTGCTCTGGGTGATCTCATCTACTCTGTTGGCTTTAAATACTACCTCTGTGCTAATGACCTTCCCATTTTTATCTCTACTCCACCTTTCCTTGGAGATCCTGTCGCATTGGCTGTCTCCCTGCTGTTTCCATGTGGATGTGCAATGGGAATCGCGTGTTGCCATGTTTGGCAAAGCACTCTTGATTCCCTTTACCAGCCTCGTTCCTCTTCACAAATGGTGCAGTGTTTGCAGTTGTTCTGTAAGGGATGGTGAATGGAGTACAAGCTCCCCAGTCACTGCCTAAGCTCAGATCTGAGGCCTTGGGCAGCTACACAACCTCTCTCTACCATGTTGTCTTCATTTGAATAAAGTGGGGTTGTCACTTGTACCTCTTGGGATTATTGTGACAGTTGAATGAATTTTCACCTGAAAAGACATGGAGCAGTGGCTGGCACATGGCTTGTGTTTAACTAGTGTTGGCTGCTGCTGTTTATCATTGTTGTTATGACTCTCATGTCCACTTCTGATCCGTTAGCAATTTCTGTTGGCTCTGACTTCAGACTGTGTCCGTTTTGACTGTGTGTCACTACCTCCATCAACACCACATTCACCCATGCAGCCAACGTCCCTTAACCAGACTACCAACTAACTAATTCCCTGCTCTGTCCTTGCCCCTCCCCTGGTCTGTTTTCCACAAAACAGCCAGAGGAGCCATTTAAGAACTGAAACCAGATCATGCCACTCTATAGTTTAAAACCCTCCAAAGGCTTCTAATAAAATCTGAACTTCCCCATGTGGCTCTTACTTTTTATAAGACCTTTCACTGGTACTTCACAAACAGTAACATATGTGTGACTTGCTAGTGACCTTGTTAACATGCAGAATCTGATCCTGTAGGTCTGTGGGGCCTGAGACACTACATCTCTAATAAGCTTGACCAGGTGAATGTGGTAAATATCAGCAGTAGTGGGATGGGTTGCCATCAGTCTTCTTCTTATGCAATGTCCTGGGAAGAATACAGCACCATGTGTCTGGTATTGCCGCTAAGGAAGCATGACCTGAGTCTGGTCACGAGGAAATACAGATCAGATTGAGGGTTATCCTGCAAAATGAAAAGACTGTACTCTGGCAGGGACATGGAAGTCAGGAAGAGAAAAGGGAACTATTCCAGATTGATTGACACTGGTGAGATGTAGCTCTGGGGTAGACTCCTGGACTAGAAAGGAAAGACATTGTTGGGACAGCTGACAAAATTCAAATGGGGTCTATGGATTGGATTGAGAGTGTAGTATCAGTGTTGATTTCCTGATGTGGAGGCTTGTATGCTGGTTATGGAGGAGAATGTCCTTGTTTTTGGAAATAACGCACTAGAGTATTGAGCAACAATGGAGCTTCATGCCTTCAGCCTGCTCTCAAAGGGGTCAGGAAAAGATAATGGAGCAAATGAGGTAAAGCATCAGTTGGAGAATCTCGTTGAAAGAGGGTATGTGAGCCCTTTGAACTATTTTTGCACTTTTCTGTACATTTGAAGTAATTTAAAATTACTATTTTTTTTTGAGAGAGGCTGTTGCTCTGTCTCCCAGGCTGGAGTGCAATGGAACGATCTTAGCTCACTGCAGCCTCCAGAGTTCAAGTGATTCTTGTGCCTCAGCCACTCGAGTAGCTAGGATTACGGGCATGTGCCACCATGCCCAGCTAATTTTTGTATTTTTAGTAGAGACGGGGTTTCACTGTAATGGCCAGGCTGGTCTTGAACTCCTGGCCTCGTGTGTTCTGCCTGCCTTGGCCTCTCAAAGTGCTGGGATTACAGGCGTGAGCCACCACGCCCAGTCTTAAAAATTATTTTTTAATATCCTATTGAGATTTTGACTGGAACCTATTAGAATTTTATAAACTAATATGTGGAGACTTAACGTCTTTACAATACTAGCCCTTTTTATCTAGCTATACCATTTGTTCTGCTAGTTTGTTTCTTTCCTTTTGTTTTGAGCTTTTTTGGGTTGTTCAGTGAAGTCTCTAATTTTCATATAGCTTTTGCCCACTTCTGCTTTGGATTGGTCATTGATATCTTTTGAATTTTAATTCAGAATTGTATTTGTTTGTTTTATTATTATTTCTTTTTAAGAGACAGAATCTCACTCTGTCACCCACGCTGGATGGAGTTCAGTGGCGTGATCTTGGCTCACTGCAACCTCCACCTCCTGTGTTCAAGCGATTCTCCTGCCACAGCCTCCTGAGTAGCTGGGATTATAGGTTTCCGCCACCGTATGTGGCCAGTTTTTGTATTTTTAGTAGAGACAGCATTTCACCATGTTGGCCAGGCTGGTCTTGAACTTCTGACCTCAGGTGTGATCTGCCTGCCTCAGCCTTCCGAAGTGCTGGGATTACAGGCTTGAGCCACCAGGCCCGGCCTCAAAATTATATTTGAATGAATTATAAAATGGAACATCCTTTTAGCCTATAAGTGGCAACACTAATTACCTCCCTTTTGCCTCTGAAGGTTTAGAAATTATGTATTAATACAACCTTTGAATGAAAAAATATATTCAATGACATCTCAGAAGCCCCTACGCTCAGCATTTAAGAAAATCCCACAGGAGCCTCTAGCTAGCCCCAGAGATGTCCTGCTCCCACCCTTCTCCTGCCCCCTTTTTGGGAACTGTTTGGCCATCCTGCTCACATATGTGGTCATCTGAAGTGATCTTGGGATGCCCCTGTGAAAATAAGACAGATAGCCATGGAGTGGGGGTGGGGCCAGGATAGGGCCCAGGTGCCTTTGGTCTGCTCAGGAGCAGATTTATAGCATCTCCTTGCAGAGTTACAGAAGCATGTGGTGGATATAGGATGCTTGCAGCCTCTTGGCTGTTTGAAATTATGCCTAATAATAGGCCTGCCGACTGTGGGTTGGAATTCAGCTGACTTTAGGCCTGATTCTCAAAAAATAATTTTGAGCTAGTGACCCTGTGTGCACACTTGCCTGGGCACTGTGGTGTCCAACAACCCTGTGTGTGGCATTGGCACCAGGTTTCCTGAAGTAGAGGTCCTGTCTGGCAGGCTCCTCCCTTCCCTCCTGCTTCTGACTTGTGGGGTCCCCTGTGCCTCTATTTCTTTCCCTTGGGCAGAGCAGCACTTTGCTGTCAGTAGGAACAGATAAAGCTCTGATACTGTTGAGATAGTTCAAGGGTTGTAATTTTTTTTTTTTTTTTTTTTTTGAGACGGAGTCTCGCTCTGTCGCCCAGGCCGGACTGCGGACTGCAGTGGCGCAATCTCGGCTCACTGCAAGCTCCGCCTCCCGGGTTCACGCCATTCTCCTGCCTCAGCCTCCCGAGTAGCTGGGACTACAGGCGCCCGCCACCGCGCCCGGCTAATTTTTTGTATTTTTAGTAGAGACGGGGTTTCACCTTGTTAGCCAGGATGGTCTCGATCTCCTGACCTCATGATCCACCCGCCTCGGCCTCCCAAAGTGCTGGGATTACAGGTGTGAGCCACCGCGCCCGGCCTAAGGGTTGTAATTTTTAAATGAGGTTAATGACATTTTGGCTGAGCACTGTGGCTCACCCTGTAATCGCAGCACTTTGGGAAGCCAAGACAGGTGGATCACTTGAGGTCAGGAGTTCAAGACCAGCCTGGCCAACATGGCGAAATGCTGTCTCTACTAAAAATACAAAAATTAGCCGGACGTGGTGGCAGGCACCTGTAATCTCAGCTACTTGGGAGGCTGAGGCAGGAGAATTGCTTGAACCTGGGAGGCAGAGGCTACAGTGAGCCAAGATTGCACCACTGCACTCCAGCAGTGCAGTGTAAGACTCTGTCTCAAAAAAAAAAAAAAAAAGTGATTATTTCCTACACAAAAATTAATGTAAATAGAAATGAAAAGGGGAAAAAATACTTCCACAACACTGCCATCTTGGATAGTCCAGAAGTTTTCCTTTTTTCTCCATTATTCCCTTTGGCCTGGGACTAAATGAATGCCTCATTTTCAGATAGTTATAATCATAGCACAGGTATAAGTTTACGTGAGCTGCTCTTTTCATCTGATACTATGTAATTTTCTATGGTGCTAGAGTCTTTGCAATTGTTTAAAATGATTATGTACTATTTCTTTGAGTGGATATACCATAATTTGTTTAATCAATTTTCAAATAGGTTGTTGCCAGTTTTTTCTTCTAATACATATTACTGGAGTGAATATGTTGGTATTTTGTTTTTTTGTTTGGTTGACTGTTTTATTACCAGTTTTCTTTTCCAAGAGTCATAATCATTTATGGTGCTTTTTTTTTTTTTTTTTTTTTTTTTTTGTACCAGCTTTAGCCTAACCTAACCAGATGGGATATCATCTTTTAAATTTTTTAGGAAATTTTTTTTTTGAGACAGAGTCTCGCTTGTTGCCCAGGCTGGAGTGCAGTGGTGCGATCTCACTGCAATCTCTGCCTCCCAGGTTCACGCCATTCTCCTGCCTCAGCCTCCTGAGTAGCTGGGACTACAGGTGCCTACCACCACGCCCGACTAATTTTTTTGTATTTTTAGTAGAGACGGGGTTTCACTGTGTTAGCCAGGATGGTCTCAATCTCCTGACCTCGTTATCCGCCCACCTCGGCCTCCCAAAGTGCTGGTATTACAGGCGTGAGCCACTGCGCCTGGCCAGGAAATGTAATAGTTACAAATTTATCCCCCTAGTTTTTGCCTGCATGTATTTGGTCATGATTCAAGGTGGATATTTTTTATGGCTTACATGGCTAATATGAGTTTTGACACCCAGAAAGCAATCTTTTTAGATATGCAGCATTCTTGTGGGTTTCTTTCCTTCTAGACAAGGAACTGACTTGCGAATTCTGAGTTGCTTTCAGACTCTTCTGATCTCCCAAGTCAGGGAGGAAGCCAGCACCTTCATTACACTTCATTTTATTCTGAAGTCCTATTACACTAAGATAACTTTTAGCCACTGAGAAAAATATAGGCTCTGCCCATGTGCAAACAGGACATAGAGTATGAAATATTAAGTCACTGAGCAGATCTTTATGCTTGATACACTTAGGAAGATCCCACATTTGCACATACACAAAACAAACGATACAGGTGTTACAGATATATCTAGGTACAAGCAGTCAACTAAATTCTAGCAAGATTCCTCAAGATTCCTTTCTAAAATGCTTCCCAATGTCACAGATTGGGAAATACAGACTGGGTTTTGCAGTGGGCATATTATATATCTTATCTCATTGTTTACCATGAATATTTTGCTTGTTTAACTTCTGAGTCTCCATTTACAAAAAGGATTACTAACATTTCTTAGATCATGGTAAGGATGAAATGCATTAACATTTGTGTAAAGCACCTGATAGTGTGTCACATGTGTGAGGCATGGCAATAATTGATAGCTACAGTTATTAGAGATCTGACCCAAGTGTGTGTCAGGATTTTCAAAAATATGCATTTGGATCTTCCTTGCCTAATTTTGTGGTACAGTGAAAGAAAGGGTTATGGGCTCTAGAATCAGAAGAATTGGAGTTACAGAATGTCAGCTCCAACTTGTCCTAGAGGAGTGACTTTTGGAAAATTTGGACTTTTGGAAAAAATTACATTAATTTTTCCCCCTCATTCATTAATTGAGTTACAGGTAAAACCACACAGTGACTAACATATATAGATTGCTAAATAAATGGCAATTATTTATTTATTTACTGGGACAGGTCTTACTGTAGCACCCAGGCTGGAGTGTAGTAGCGTGCAGCCTCGGCTCACTGCAACCTCTGCCTCCCAGGCTCAAGTGATCCTCCTGCCTCAGCCTCTGGAGTGGCTGGGACTACAGGCACAAGCCAGCACACCCAGCTAATTCTTTTGTATTTTTTGTGGAGACGGGGTCTTGTTATGTTGCCCATGCTGGTCTCCTGAGCTCAAACAGTCTGCCTGCCTCGGCCTCCCAAAGTGCTGGGATTACAGGTGTGAGCCACTGTGGCCGGCCAGCAATTTTTATTATATCAGTGGTACATACCTTAGATACTGGTTAAAGGTAAATACTTTAATTGGTTTGTTTTTACTAAGCAAGGTAAAGCCAACACATTCTCTGCTTAGAGGAAGATTTGTAGAGAAAATCACATGGATAACACATTTTAGGAGCTCTTAAGATACAGCAGGACACATTCTAAGAGCTCTTAAGAACCATATGATCTCATGTGGCAAGAAGGAATTTATGGGCCTGGGGATGCTTAAAAGGCTCCAAGTTGAGACCAAGGTGAGAGTGGGCCGATGGCACAAAGGGGGCTGAGCAGGCTTGTTTGAGAGGGTGGGGAGAAGCAGAAATTGTGTTGGGAAGATGTCACAGGGCTTCAGGGCCTATGGGGGGGTGTGATGGTGTCAAAATGGCAGTTAAGCAAAAGAAAGTACTGGGAAAGAGAACTTTTCAGGTGTTATTCTAGCCCAAGAAAGATGAAAATGACAGTGACGAGAATGGAATGGGAAAGGACAAATACAGGAAGGAGAGTAGTGTCATGATGAGGTAGCATGGTAAATACAGAGTCAAAGTGAAAGGTCAGTTTGGGGTTATTCTAAAGCTTCTTGCTTGGGATGATCATGGTTTTCTTTGAGAATAGGCAGTTGGGTCAGTTGAGGAAGAACAACCTTATCTTTGTCATTGAAAATGAGTTAGTTACTGCCTAATAATAAATGCATTTGTTGTCTTTTAGAAATGATTACAGTCACAAGTGACACTGTCCAGAGTCCTTAAGTACTGATCTGTCTAGAGGGCCAGAGGCCTTGCTCTGTCTCTGCATGGTCATTAAAACCTTTGCCATATGGGGCCGGGCGCGGTGGCTCATGCCTGTAATCCCAGCACTTTGGGAGGCTGAGGCGGGCGGATCATGAGGTCAGGAGATCGAGACCATCCTGGCTAACACGGTGAAACCCTGTCTCTACTAAAAATACAAAAAATCAGCCAGGCACGGTGGTGGGCGCCTGTAGTCCCAGCTACTTGGGAGGCTGAGGCAGGAGAATGACGTGAACCCGGGAGGCGGAGCTTGCAGTGAGCCGAGATATCGCCACTGCACTCCAGCCTGGGCAACAGAACGAGACTCCGTCTCAAAAAAAAAAAAAAAAACCCTTTGCCATATGGTTAATAAGCCCTATAGACCCCACATCCTTGGCATTCAGAGCCCAGCACCTGCCTGCAACTCTCTTCATAGTATCTCATCCAATTTTGGACTTTGGGCATTTCTTACTTTCTTGCAACTTGGCTATACATTTTGTCTGACATTTCTAAGTGTTTTGTTGAGGGAGGATTTTTAGTCCCTGTTCTATGTCATAGTGCATGAAATAGAAGTCTCTCATTCCCCAAGTGGCAATAGTCTACTCTGAAATCCTAGGAATGAGAAGAACTCTTATCAGTCAGGGTCCCAGTAGAAAACAGATGGCACATTCAAACTGGGTAATTTAAGGAGTGTTTAATTGTATCATTCAGGGTTCATTCAGGAAAAGAGAAGTTGTCTATTCCGGTATGAATGGTTTTGATACAGGAATTAAGGCTTTACCCAACCCTGGAAGAACTGGAATTGGGAAGGTTCCTGATGATTTCATACTGAAGTGTCATAGTGAATGGTTCTCGTGAGCTCATGGGGAAGCCGCTATGAATCCACGTGTGCTGCATCTACCTCCAGGGAATATCATCAACCTCTACGTTTATTTTGCCTTCTAAATCTCTCTTGCACTTCTCATTGCAAACTCTAACCCAGAACCATGCTGCTAAAGGGTTCTGGAACGGAAGTTCTCAGCTTCTGATCTGCAGAGGAGAGCTTGGAAGGAGGGTGGTCACGATGCTGAGTTGACAACAATGCAGAAGATTAATAAAGGGACTGGAAAGGGTGAGCAGGGTTTGGGGAAGCCAACAGGAAAGTGAAGTCTTCTGTGCTAGCAGTAGCAGGGAGTTGTTACCTACTGCCTTCTAGACCTGAAGGGCAGAGGATGAAGTGGTTCCTGGAGTTTGGAGAAAGTGGCTATATGTTGAGGTTGCCCGATGGAGCTGCAGCCATTGGTGGAGGGTCTCAGCCAGCCTCAGTAACCTCGGGGTGGGAGCCAGGAGAGTAAGTTCCTCTCACTTTCCTCCTCTCCTGCCTCTTACCAGCCAAACTGGGTCAGAAGGCAAGGGTGGTGGGGCCTGTCAGTTGTCCTTCCATTGTCCGTTCTAGGGCATAGAGTAGGGTGGAGATGGGTGAGGAGAGGCTGTGGGGGCAAACAGGGAATATCCCTTACACAGGCTATAACTAGATGCATCATTGTCAATGTCTTGAGGATTTAAAGGCAAAGAAGGAGAATAAGCAGAAAATCATGACAGAGGATGAAAAAATTAGCTGGGGCCAGGCACAATGGCTGAATTCTAGCACTTTGGGAGGTTGAAACAGCAGGATGGCTTGAGCCCAGGAGTTTGAGACCAGCCTGGACAGCACAGTGAGACTCTGTCTCTATTTTTAAGAAATTATAAAAATTAGCCATAGTCCCAATTATTTTTTAAAAATTAGCCAGGGGTCCCATGCCTGTGGTCCCAGCTACTTGGGAGGCTGAGGCAGGAGGATTGCCTGAGCTGGGAGTTGAGGCCGCAGTGAGCCTGTGGTCATGCCACTGCACTCCAGCCTGGGCAACAGAGTGAGACTCTCTTTCCAAAAAAGAGAATGGATTGGGAAGTGGGATGTTGTTGGACATATGGAGGAAGAAGGACAGAGAAAGCCAATGTTGGTTTTCTATAAGAGGGCAAGGTCATCAGCCCTCTAATAGGATGGGGAGAACAAGTCTGCAGCTGGTTATGAGTGAGTTTGTGAGGTCGGCACATGGACTCTGGAATGTTTAGGCACAGAGTTCTGGACCTCACTAATACACCTCCACAGCCCTTCTGAAACTGTTCAGAAAGTTAGGAATATAGGAGAAAAACAGGAAAGGGAGAGTCATTATGGATGGGAAGTACATCGGTAGGCCTCTTTTTTATTTATTTATTGAGACGGAATCTCGCTTTGTTGCCCAGGCTGGAGGGCAGTGGCGCGATCTCTGCTCACTGCAACCTCTGCCTCCGAGGCTCAGGCGATCCTCCTGCCTCAGCCCCCCGAGGTGCTGGGACTACAGGCACGCATCACCATGCCTGGCTAATTTTTGTATTTTTTATAAAGATAGGGTTTCGCCATGTTGCCCAGGCTGGTCTCGAACTCCTGAGCCCAAGTGATCTGCCCGCCTTGACCTCCCAAAGTTCAGGGATTACAGGGGTGAGCCACTGTGCCCAGCCTCTTTTTTAGAGTGTGTATGCAAGTTCCTTAGGTGACTTATTCCTTTGAGGTATCAGATTTTCCTTACTATTTGTATTCATTTAAACAAAGGAATTCAGGCACTTATTATTACTAATCACAGTGCTTTAAAACTGACTACACTGATGCTTTTTTTAAGATGATGGGATAAAATTGGAATTATCTCTATTAGCTTTTTTTTTTTTTTTTTTTTTTTTTTGAGACAGGGTTACTGTCACCCAGGGTGGAGCACATTGGCACATTCATAGCTCGTTGCAGCCTCGAACTCCTGAGTTCAAGCAATCGTCCTACCTCAGCCTCTTGAGCAGCTGGGACTGTAGGCACACCTCATGACACTGTGCATTTAAAATTTTTTTTAACCCAGGCTGGTCTTGAACTCCTGACCTCAAGCGATCCTCACACCTCAGCCTCCCAAAACACTGGGATTACAGGTGTGAGCCACCACACCCAGCCTATTACTTATTTTATAGCTCCAGGTTTACATTTTCTGTCGTTGGTATATGCTAGTTGGTTTTCTTAATTGGTTTACTTGGCATTCCTAAAAAAGATAAACCTGGGCAACCACCTTCTCCTACTCAGGTGCTTCATGTATACTAAGAATATTTAGCATGACTGGAACCCTGCAGGAGGTATTTGGCCTTGGATTTTTTTTTTTTCTTTTTCATAAAGTAGAACCATAACAATAGGGAAAGGGGTATCATACAGGACAGGGAATCTGCAGGGGAAGGCTGAGAACAGACCTAAGAAGGAGTCCTTCCTGTATCTGTTTTCCCTGTCTGGAGATAGGGCAGCCTCAGGCCTGATACCCTGATGTTTAAAGTGGCCTTTAGCTCTTGGTGGCTCCTATTTAGGAAGAATATGGAGCAAGTGGCAACATTGTTTATACACTCAGATCTTCAGAAGCCTGATTTTATTTCCAGAAGGATTAATTAAACAACATGTAACATAGCTTTTTATAGAGAATATCTCTTGAGAAGGCTTTTCATTAGTTTAAACTGCTAGCTTTAATGTTTTTGTTCAATTTAGCCCCCATTCAGCCTTGTTTTATCTAGAGAAGGCCACTGGCACTGAGGAGTAGAGCAGGAGCACATCACAAGGGGAAAAAATTAATACTCATGTAGACAGAATTGCTCTTGATAGTTCTAAGAATGATGGGGAGCGGGTGAAGAGCCAGCTGGAACAGTATGGAGGTCCTTATAAGAGGGTGGCAGTGAAGGGACAGATTTATTGTGGGTGGCTACCCACTTTCAAGGCCAAACTGACAGGACAACTGGTATTTTTTACTGACCATGTGGAAGACCCTCTGGGCAATGTAATGTTAAAAACATGTCCTGCCCCCAGCCCTGCTGCCTAGGAGCTTTGTGAACTCTGCTTCTGTTTCCTCATCTGTAAAAGGAGCGTGCTAGTGTTGTGAGGATTAAATGAGTTAGTGTATGTGAAGTGCTGGAACAGTGTCAAGCAGCATCATCACCATTTGAATAGCTATTACCTACTGCCCTGCAGATTCACTGGAACAAAGCAACAGAGGCATTTTGAATAGGATGAGAAGTTTCCTTTAGATTCTGACATTATTTGCACATGAATGTTTAGCGATTGTTTTGGGTCACATGACTATATAATCAAGCTTAAGGAAGTAGACCCTTGTCTAGCTGTTTTAGACTTACGATATTTCAAGATATGGGTCAAGCTTTTAGAATTTGGGGTTACTGGCCATCTTCTGCTCTAATCAATATTTACTTTCTGAAGTCTTTCCTCAGTTCTCATGTGGACTCAAGCTGGGTCTTTCCCTTAGAACCGGACTCATGGGATTTTACAGGCAAGGTCTTCAGCATCCTCCAGCTCTGCTTTTAGGTTGATCATATTCTATTTTCACTTTCTATAATTCTCTCATGTCACTCCCACAGCACCATCTCTGAATATGTGAGTTCTAGCCTAGTTCTCTAAGGCCTAGTTCTTACACCATTTAATCATTCACACAGACTCCGGTGTGATGACGTGAGGATTACAGCAAGGAACAGTCAGTTTCTGCCCTTTAAGGAGTTTACATTTTAGTCAGAGGAGAGACAGACAGTAAACAAGTAGCATATATGTGTCTGTTTGGAGTAAGTATGGGGCCAGGCAGGGGATAAAACAGGGGAGGGAGTTACAGCCAGGGAAAAGGTGTGGAGCTGGCTGTTTTTACTAGAATGACCAGGGAATGAGTGACACTTGCCCAAAGACTGGAAGGAGAGCAAGCTATCTGGCTCTGGGAGAAGAACGTGCAGGTGAGAACAGAGTTCCTATGTAGATATGTGGTAGGCCTGTTCCAGGAACAAGGCAACTGTGGGGCTAGAGCAGAGAGTGATAGGGGAGGAGCTCAGAGAGGTCAAGGGGGTGGGAGCAGGGGCCTTTGAGACCAGTTTCCCAAAGAATGAGGTGGGAGCCACTCCAGGGATTGGAGAGGATAAATCTGACTTACCTTTAAAAAGGTTGTTGACTTTCCTGCAGGCAACTCCATTTTCAGCTCCCCTTCAGGGGAACTAGGAAACTAGCTTCATAAACCATTGTAACTAAACTAAACTGTCTATTACACCTCACTTTACCCTATATGTATTTTGGAACTTGTTTTTTTAAGTAATTGGTTCTAAAGTCACTTGGAGCAATTTGGCCTTGTCCCTTTCATCTCTGACTCTGAGGAGACAGGCCCAGGTGAAAGGGGAAAAAATCAGCTTGATTGATTAAGAGGGATTATAATAGGTAATACAAAGTGGTGGCTCAGTCAGATAACTTTGAAAGAGTCTGGGTCCTAGGCTTGATGAATTCCTATTTTCCTCTCTGTTTTTTGCTGTCCTCCAAGATGATTGCTTCTAATTCTTTCATAGTAATGGCCAGTAATAACTGTGAATTTAAAAAACTGGCAAATACAAATACCACATGGCGGGTAAAGGTGCTGGAACTTCTTGGAAACCTCCCAAAATAATCTGGAAGAATAGTCACTGCTATTCACTGGCTTAAGTCTAGCCCTTTGTACCTGGGAATTGAAGGAGAGTGGTGGAGAGAGGGGTGCTGTAGACACAGTCATATGCCAAGAAGAGGTTGACTCCAAAGTTTGTGTGGAACCCATATGGGCTGAGTGTCCTGGAGTCACCAGTCATCACAGGTAGTTGGCAATTATAGTAAAGCTGCAAAAATTTGCACTTGGACATAAGGAATTGGCTGCAGTTCTCTGGCCAGGTCTGTT
Source organism: Homo sapiens (assembly GCF_000001405.40). NCBI lineage: Eukaryota > Metazoa > Chordata > Mammalia > Primates > Hominidae > Homo > Homo sapiens. Next base: position 138,679 of record NT_187682.1, on the reverse strand, counting down.
TCTCAGTGTTGGGGAGTGGCGATCAGCAGCCAGTGTTAAAACCCGCAGTTCAGTGATCACCCTAATACATGAAAGCAGAGAAATGAAAGTAGTGGCTTATGCCTGTAGTCCCAAAACTTTGAGAGGCCGAGGCAGGAGGATCATTTGAAGCCAGGTGTTTGATGCTGCAGTGAACTACGACTGTGCCCCTGCACACTCCAGCCTGGGCAAGAGTGAGACCTTGTCTCAAAAAAAAAAAAAAAAAAAAAAAAAAAAGGATTTGGTTTTTCTTACCCCACACCCCCTCCCCCGCATAACTGGGAGGCTTATTGAAAAATTGCTGTTTTTCATTGACAGTAATAACACAGCCCCATATTTTAATCTGGTTGAGTTTGGGGGCTCATTTGTCTAATAAGGCATTATTAGATATATGAGACATACATGTTTTTGCTGTATTGGGTTTGTATGCACTCAGAGTGCTGCTTTTCATTCTACTACAGATTCTTGCCTCACTCTTTAGGCCATTTCTCTGCATATGTGCATTTTCAGAAGTGGATAGGATAAAATATAAAAGATGAAATTCAAGGTCAGGCGTGGTGGCTCATGCCTGTAATTCCAGCACTTTGGGAGGCCGAGGTGGGCGGATCACGAGGTCAGGAGTTCGAGACCAGCCTGGCCAGCACAGTGAAACCCTGTCTCTACTAAAAATACAAAAAATTAGCCGAGCCTGGTGGCCATGCGCCTGTAGTCCCAGCTACTCGGGAGGCTGAGGCAAGAGAATTGCTTGAACCCTGCAGGCAGAAGTTGCATTGAGCTGAGATCGTGCAATTGCACTCCAGCCTGGGTGACAGAGTGAGACTCTTGTCTCAAAAAACCAAAAAAAAAAAATAGAAATTCAAACCAGTCAGCTTCATCTGGGCCTCTGATTCATCTTTATTCCCTCCATCATCTAGACTTGATTTTATTTGTACCAAGGAGATGCGTGTCTAATGTTTTTCTTTCTTCTATTTCTAGGAGGGCTGTTGGCCTGCTGCTGTGCTGCTGAACAGTATGCAGTCCTTTCGGGAGCAAAGCAGTTACCACGGAAACCAGCAAAGCTACCCACAGGAGGTACACGGCTCATCCCGGCTAGAAGAGTTCAGCCCTCGTCAGGCCCAGATGTTCCAGAATTTTGGAGGTACAGGTGGCAGTAGTGGCAGCAGTGGCAGTGGCAGTGGTGGTGGACGACGAGGAGCAGCAGCTGCTGCGGCAGCGATGGCTAGCGAGACCTCTGGCCATCAAGGTTACCAGGGTTTCAGGAAAGAGGCTGGAGATTTTTACTACATGGCAGGCAACAAAGACCCCGTGACTACAGGAACCCCACAGCCTCCTCAGCGAAGGCCTTCTGGGCCTGTGCAGAGCTATGGACCCCCCCAGGGGAGCAGCTTTGGCAATCAGTATGGGAGTGAGGGTCATGTGGGCCAGTTTCAAGCACAGCACTCTGGCCTTGGCGGTGTGTCACATTATCAGCAGGATTACACTGGGCCTTTCTCTCCAGGGAGTGCTCAGTACCAACAGCAGGCTTCCAGCCAGCAGCAGCAGCAGCAAGTCCAGCAGTTGAGACAACAGCTTTACCAGTCCCATCAGCCCCTGCCACAGGCCACTGGCCAACCAGCATCCAGCTCATCCCATCTACAGCCAATGCAGCGGCCCTCAACTCTGCCATCCTCTGCTGCTGGTTACCAGTTAAGAGTGGGTCAGTTTGGCCAACACTATCAGTCTTCTGCTTCCTCCTCCTCCTCCTCCTCCTTCCCTTCACCACAGCGTTTTAGCCAGTCTGGACAGAGCTATGATGGCAGTTACAATGTGAATGCTGGATCTCAGTATGAAGGACACAATGTGGGTTCTAATGCACAGGCTTATGGAACACAATCCAATTACAGCTATCAGCCTCAATCTATGAAGAATTTTGAACAGGCAAAGATTCCACAAGGGACCCAACAGGGGCAGCAGCAGCAGCAACCGCAGCAACAACAACACCCTTCTCAGCATGTGATGCAGTATACTAACGCTGCCACCAAGCTGCCCCTGCAAAGCCAAGTGGGGCAGTACAACCAGCCTGAGGTTCCTGTGAGGTCCCCCATGCAGTTTCACCAGAACTTCAGCCCCATTTCTAACCCTTCTCCAGCTGCCTCTGTGGTTCAGTCTCCAAGCTGTAGTTCTACCCCATCTCCTCTCATGCAGACTGGGGAGAATCTCCAGTGTGGGCAAGGCAGTGTGCCTATGGGTTCCAGAAACAGAATTTTACAGTTAATGCCTCAACTCAGTCCAACCCCATCAATGATGCCCAGTCCTAATTCTCATGCTGCAGGCTTCAAAGGGTTTGGACTAGAAGGGGTACCAGAAAAGCGACTGACAGATCCTGGGTTGAGTAGTTTGAGTGCTCTGAGTACTCAAGTGGCCAATCTTCCTAACACTGTCCAGCACATGTTACTTTCTGATGCCCTGACTCCTCAGAAGAAGACCTCCAAGAGGCCCTCATCTTCCAAGAAAGCAGATAGCTGCACAAATTCTGAAGGCTCCTCACAACCTGAAGAACAGCTGAAGTCCCCTATGGCAGAGTCATTAGATGGAGGCTGCTCCAGCAGTTCAGAGGATCAAGGCGAGAGAGTGCGGCAACTAAGTGGCCAGAGCACCAGCTCTGACACCACCTACAAGGGTGGAGCCTCTGAGAAAGCTGGCTCCTCACCGGCACAAGGTGCTCAGAATGAACCCCCCAGACTCAATGCTAGTCCTGCCGCAAGAGAAGAGGCCACCTCACCAGGCGCTAAGGACATGCCATTGTCATCCGACGGGAACCCAAAGGTTAATGAGAAGACTGTTGGGGTGATTGTCTCCCGGGAAGCCATGACAGGTCGGGTAGAAAAGCCTGGTGGACAAGATAAAGGCTCCCAAGAGGATGATCCTGCAGCCACTCAAAGGCCACCTAGCAATGGTGGGGCAAAGGAAACCAGTCATGCATCACTTCCCCAGCCAGAGCCTCCAGGAGGAGGAGGGAGCAAAGGAAACAAGAATGGCGATAACAACTCCAACCATAATGGAGAAGGAAATGGCCAGAGTGGCCACTCTGCAGCGGGCCCTGGTTTTACGAGCAGAACTGAGCCTAGCAAATCTCCTGGAAGTCTGCGCTATAGTTACAAAGATAGTTTCGGGTCAGCCGTGCCACGAAATGTCAGTGGCTTTCCTCAGTATCCTACAGGGCAAGAAAAGGGAGATTTCACTGGCCATGGGGAACGAAAGGGTAGAAATGAAAAATTCCCAAGCCTCCTGCAGGAAGTGCTTCAGGGTTACCACCACCACCCTGACAGGAGATATTCTAGGAGTACTCAAGAGCATCAGGGGATGGCTGGTAGCCTAGAAGGAACCACAAGGCCCAATGTCTTGGTTAGTCAAACCAATGAATTAGCTAGCAGGGGCCTTCTGAACAAAAGCATTGGGTCTCTATTAGAAAATCCCCACTGGGGCCCCTGGGAAAGGAAATCAAGCAGCACAGCTCCTGAAATGAAACAGATCAATTTGACTGACTATCCAATTCCCAGAAAGTTTGAAATAGAGCCTCAGTCATCAGCACATGAGCCTGGGGGTTCCCTCTCTGAAAGAAGATCAGTGATCTGTGATATTTCTCCACTAAGACAGATTGTCAGGGACCCAGGGGCTCACTCACTGGGACACATGAGTGCCGACACCAGAATTGGGAGGAATGACCGTCTCAATCCAACTTTAAGTCAGTCGGTCATTCTTCCTGGTGGTTTGGTGTCCATGGAAACCAAGCTGAAATCCCAGAGCGGGCAGATAAAAGAGGAAGACTTTGAACAGTCTAAATCTCAAGCTAGTTTCAACAACAAGAAATCTGGAGACCACTGCCATCCTCCTAGCATCAAGCATGAGTCTTACCGCGGCAATGCCAGCCCTGGAGCAGCAACCCATGATTCCCTTTCAGACTATGGCCCGCAAGACAGCAGACCCACGCCAATGCGGCGGGTCCCTGGCAGAGTTGGTGGTCGGGAGGGCATGAGGGGTCGGTCCCCTTCTCAATATCATGACTTTGCAGAAAAATTGAAAATGTCTCCTGGGCGGAGCAGAGGCCCAGGGGGAGACCCTCATCACATGAATCCACACATGACCTTTTCAGAGAGGGCTAACCGGAGTTCTTTACACACTCCCTTTTCTCCCAACTCAGAAACCCTGGCCTCTGCTTATCATGCAAATACTCGGGCTCATGCTTATGGGGACCCTAACGCAGGTTTGAATTCTCAGCTGCATTATAAGAGACAGATGTACCAACAGCAACCAGAGGAGTATAAAGACTGGAGCAGCGGTTCTGCTCAGGGAGTAATTGCTGCAGCACAGCACAGGCAGGAGGGGCCACGGAAGAGTCCAAGGCAGCAGCAGTTTCTTGACAGAGTACGGAGCCCTCTGAAAAATGACAAAGATGGTATGATGTATGGCCCACCAGTGGGGACTTACCATGACCCCAGTGCCCAGGAGGCTGGGCGCTGCCTAATGTCTAGTGATGGTCTGCCTAACAAGGGCATGGAATTAAAGCATGGCTCCCAGAAGTTACAAGAATCCTGTTGGGATCTTTCTCGGCAAACTTCTCCAGCCAAAAGCAGCGGTCCTCCAGGAATGTCCAGTCAAAAAAGGTATGGGCCGCCCCATGAGACTGATGGACATGGACTAGCTGAGGCTACACAGTCATCCAAACCTGGTAGTGTTATGCTGAGACTTCCAGGCCAGGAGGATCATTCTTCTCAAAACCCCTTAATCATGAGGAGGCGTGTTCGTTCTTTTATCTCTCCCATTCCCAGTAAGAGACAGTCACAAGATGTAAAGAACAGTAGCACTGAAGATAAAGGTCGCCTCCTTCACTCATCAAAAGAAGGCGCTGATAAAGCATTCAATTCCTATGCCCATCTTTCTCACAGTCAGGATATCAAGTCTATCCCTAAGAGAGATTCCTCCAAGGACCTTCCAAGTCCAGATAGTAGAAACTGCCCTGCTGTTACCCTCACAAGCCCTGCTAAGACCAAAATACTGCCCCCACGGAAAGGACGGGGATTGAAATTGGAAGCTATAGTTCAGAAGATTACATCCCCAAATATTAGGAGGAGCGCATCTTCGAACAGTGCGGAGGCTGGGGGAGACACGGTTACGCTTGATGATATACTGTCTTTGAAGAGTGGTCCTCCTGAAGGTGGGAGTGTTGCTGTTCAGGATGCTGACATAGAGAAGAGAAAAGGTGAGGTGGCTTCGGACCTAGTCAGTCCAGCAAACCAGGAGTTGCACGTAGAGAAACCTCTTCCAAGGTCTTCAGAAGAGTGGCGTGGCAGCGTGGATGACAAAGTGAAGACAGAGACACATGCAGAAACAGTTACTGCCGGAAAGGAACCCCCTGGTGCCATGACATCCACAACCTCACAGAAGCCTGGTAGTAACCAAGGGAGACCAGATGGTTCCCTGGGTGGAACAGCACCTTTAATCTTTCCAGACTCAAAGAATGTACCTCCAGTGGGCATATTGGCCCCTGAGGCAAACCCCAAGGCTGAAGAGAAGGAGAACGATACAGTGACGATTTCACCGAAGCAAGAGGGTTTCCCTCCAAAGGGATATTTCCCATCAGGAAAGAAGAAGGGGAGACCCATTGGTAGTGTGAATAAGCAAAAGAAACAGCAGCAGCCACCGCCTCCACCCCCTCAGCCCCCACAGATACCAGAAGGTTCTGCAGATGGAGAGCCAAAGCCAAAAAAACAGAGGCAAAGGAGGGAGAGAAGGAAGCCTGGGGCCCAGCCGAGGAAGCGAAAAACCAAACAAGCAGTTCCCATTGTGGAACCCCAAGAACCTGAGATCAAACTAAAATATGCCACCCAGCCACTGGATAAAACTGATGCCAAGAACAAGTCTTTTTACCCTTACATCCATGTAGTAAATAAGTGTGAACTTGGAGCCGTTTGTACAATCATCAATGCTGAGGAAGAAGAACAGACCAAATTAGTGAGGGGCAGGAAGGGTCAGAGGTCACTGACCCCTCCACCTAGCAGCACTGAAAGCAAGGCGCTCCCGGCCTCGTCCTTTATGCTGCAGGGACCTGTTGTGACAGAGTCTTCGGTTATGGGGCACCTGGTTTGCTGTCTGTGTGGCAAGTGGGCCAGTTACCGGAACATGGGTGACCTCTTTGGACCTTTTTATCCCCAAGATTATGCAGCCACTCTCCCGAAGAATCCACCTCCTAAGAGGGCCACAGAAATGCAGAGCAAAGTTAAGGTACGGCACAAAAGTGCTTCTAATGGCTCCAAGACGGACACTGAGGAGGAGGAAGAGCAGCAGCAGCAGCAGAAGGAGCAGAGAAGCCTGGCCGCACACCCCAGGTTTAAGCGGCGCCACCGCTCGGAAGACTGTGGTGGAGGCCCTCGGTCCCTGTCCAGGGGGCTCCCTTGTAAAAAAGCAGCCACTGAGGGCAGCAGTGAAAAGACTGTTTTGGACTCGAAGCCCTCCGTGCCCACCACTTCAGAAGGTGGCCCTGAGCTGGAGTTACAAATCCCTGAACTACCTCTTGACAGCAATGAATTTTGGGTCCATGAGGGTTGTATTCTCTGGGCCAATGGAATCTACCTGGTTTGTGGCAGGCTCTATGGCCTGCAGGAAGCGCTGGAAATAGCCAGAGAGATGGTGAGTATGAGAAATCTCTTACCAGCTTGGGATTTTTATTTCATTTGGTTCCTTTTCTTGCATGTTTTTGTTCTTACATGTCACATGATTATTCCTCCAAATTAAAGTGCCTATGCCCATGTGATGGACAGAAAATGAAATAGGTAATTTGGAAGATTTGTATAGACTTCTAAAATCGTTTTTCATTTTTTGAAATGTATAATGCTTATGAAGCATATTATTATATTTCAAGTTTCTTGGGCCACATCTTTTCTAACGCACACTTTCCAGTTAGGATATTTATTCTTTGGATCTGTTTCATAACTTATCCTGGGGCAGATCATCAACATCATCATCTTCATTTCTTTCTCTCCTCTATTGAATGTTCTGTTTCCTGAATCCCATTTCTTCCTCATTCTTAAAGTGAGCCTTCATTTAAGGGCGTGCATCATCCTTTAGTAGTTTTGTGAGAAAGGGTGTGTGGGAGTGTAAAAATGTTGAGATCCTATATATCTGAGCATGACTTTATCCTAGCCTCATGCTTAATTGAGAGTTGGCTAGGTGTGGAATTCTAGATTGGAAGTGATTTTTCTCTCACTGTCTTGCAGTCGTTCTTCCTGGTTTGTCCACTAGCTTCCAGTGCTGCAGTTGAGAAGACTGCCATTCTAATTTTTCATCCCTTGATGCATGTTCTGTTTTTCTTCTGGAAAGTTTGAGGATCTTCTCCTTTTCCCTAGGGTCTTGAGATGTCAAAATGATAGGTCTTGACTAGGTCATTTCATGGTTGTGTTGGCTACTCTATGAGATCTTATGTACGCTGATGTCTTTCAGTTCAGGCAATTTGTCATGTGGTAGTTCTTTGAAAATTTCCTTCCCTCTATTTTCTCTGCTCTCTTTATAATTCCTGTTAATATAAGGCATTTTACCTCCTGGATTGATCCGCTGTTTTTATCTTTTCTCCTCTGTTTTATGTTTTATCTCATTATCTTTTTGTTCTGATTTCTCTATGCTTTCTTCAGCTTTATCATCTAATCTTTTTTGTATGTGGGTTTTGTTTTGGTTTTGTTTTGTTTTGTTTTGTTTTGTTGTCACTCAGGCTGGAATGCAGTGGTGCGATCACAGCTTACTGCATTCTCGAACTCTGGGGCTCCCTGGTACCTGGGACTAAAGGTGTGTGCCACCATGCCCAGCTAATATTTATATTTTTTGCAGAAACAAGGTCTCACTGTGTTGCCCAGAGTGGTCTCAAACTGCTGGACTCAAGCAATCCTTCCACTTCGGTCTTCTAAAGTACCAGGATTATAGGCATGTGCCACAAGCCACAGTGCCCAGCCTTCTAGCCTTTTATTTACTTATTTTTTTTCTTGATATTTTGAAGAGCTTTTTTTTTCTCTGAATGTACTGACTTTTAAAGAATAATCAGAGCCTAGTTGATGGCTATAATCGTTTCTCTTGCTTTTTGAATACATTATAACGTATTTTTTGTTTTTGTTTTTGTTTCAGTTTCATGCCCTTACCCAGGCTGGAGTGCAGTGATGTGATGATGGCTCACTGCAGCCTCCAACCACTGGGCTCAAGGGATCCTCCCAAGTAGCTGGACCACAGGTGCATGCCAGTACACCTGGCTAAGTTTTTTACTTTTTGTAGAGACAGCATCTCACTTTGTTGCCCAGGCAGGCTGGTCTCACCACCTGAGCTTAAGCAATCCTCCCACGTCAGCCTTCCAAAGTGCTGGAATTACAGGCGTGAGCCACTACACTTGGCCTGTACTATAATTTTTAAAAATCTTTGTCTGTTTCCTATTTTCTCTTTCTTGTTAGAGGTTCTTCAGATGTCTTGATTTTTTTTTCTTTATTGAGATGGGGTTTCGCTCTTGTTGCCCAGGCTGGAGTGCAATGGCGCAATCTCAGCTCACCGCAACCTCCGCTTCCCAGGTTCAAGCGATTCTCTTGCCTCAGCCTCCTGAGTAGCTGGGATTAGAGGCATGCGCCACCATGCACAGCTAATTTTGTATTTTTAGAAGACATGAGGTTTCTCCACGTTGGTCAGTCTGGTCTCGAGCTCCTGACCTCAGGTGATCCGCCCACCTCGGCCTCCCAAAGTGCTGGGATTACAGGCTTGAGCCACTGCACCCAGCCTTGATTTATATTTTTAAGAGAGAAAGAGATGTTTTAAAAAATGACTTGAAGCTCTCTGTTACAGTATGGGCCAGGCTTGCTAGCCTGTAGTCCTCTCCGTAGAATAATAAGGCAGCCAGCCAGCATATGGGTCTTTTTTCTGAGTTGAGTTTTCCCAGAGGAAAAAAAAACATTTTTTTTTTTGTTCCAGAGAAAAATCTTGAGATTTCCTGTCTAGAGATGCAAGCTTGGCTGCCAGCGTCCTAAAAGCCAAGTGGAGAAGAGGATGGTAGGGTTGTGTGGGTGGGGATATGGGCTCATGATTCAGTGCGCGGACTTTGACAATCTCCCGCCTGTTTTCAGTGGATGAGAACAGTTACCTGGTTGAACTGGGTTAAGGATCTAACTCCTCTTAGAAACTTTGGGCTAATGCTCTATTTTTCAGCCCCATGTTGCACCCCCACTTACTGAGGCCTCCCCAAGCTCTGTGCCCTAAAGTGGCTGGCTTTCTGGGGGCTCCTCCACTGCACTCATCATTACTGTCTGCTTCCTTGCAGTGCACAGAATCACTGTCACTCACTTCATCTCTCATGTTTCCAGCTTCCCATTGCTCATGGTGTCATGAGTTTATCTTGCAAGTTTATCCACTTTTTCGTGGGAAGGGATCAGATGGATGTACAACTGTATGTTTAGTAGTCTACCATATTATTTATAACCTTCTGGCAAAAAGAAGTGCCCATAGACTATAGTAAAAATTATATTGAATGTGAAATATATATTTGAAATTAGAACATTTTAATTCAGTCATGCAAGGAGCTTGCCCTTTACTCTTATCATGTCCCCTATCTCCCAATTACGGTCTTTTCTTTGTGCCTCCTTCCCTGTCTCCATTATTAACATCACGGTGAAACTCCAAGTTTGAGGTAGAAGATTCACTTCCCCTAAGAAGTTTATACACAATGACATTTTAAAATGCAAAGATCCTAGGAGGATGTAACATTTAAGACCCTCAAGTACAAAATTCTTTAGTCAAATTTGAGCGCTCAAAATAATCCGTTAATCATCCTCTTGTCAAAGTTGAGTTCTTGCTTCCCAACTTTCCTTGGAAAGTCACAGTATTTGGTGGGTTTTTTGTTGTTTGTTTTTTGAGACAGAATCTCACTTTGTTGTGGGGTTTCACCATGTTGGCCAGGCTGGTCTGGAACTCCTGACCTCAGATCATCCATCTGCCTTGACCTCCTAGAGTGTTGGGATTACAGGTGTGGGTCACTGCGCCCAGCCTGTTTATTGCTTTTTGATGTGCATATGTGTATGTGACCATCTGACAGTGTTTTCGTTATTTCAACATTTATTATTAACATATCTCAGCCCAGTTTTTTTGTGTAAACTTTTAGGTGTTCTATAGCAATAATTGATAATCAGTAATCAGGCTAAATCTTCCCCAGCAAATCTCTAGATCCTGTGTCTCAATTCAGGTCTTGGGCCGAGCATGATGGCTCACGCCTGTAGTCCCAGCACTTTGGGAGGCCGAGGTGGGCAGATCGCCTGAGGTCAGGAGTTCAAGACCAGCCTGGCCAACATGGTCAAACCCCGTGTCTACTAAAAATATGCAAAAATTAGCTGGACATGGTGACAGGCACCTGTAATCCCAGCTACTCGGGAGGCTGAGGCAGGAGAATGGCTTGAGCCTAGGAGACGGAGGTTGCAGTGAGCCAAGATGGTGCCACTGCACTCTAGCCTGGGCGACTGAGTGGGATTCAATCTCTAAAAAAAATAAGAAAAAAGTTAGGCTTGTTGTCTCTTTGAGCTGATGTACCACTATCACTATAAGATCCGTTTCTAGCTTTTATTTACCTAGCTTTTATTCTACTTTTCTCAGTGCACTCAAGGACAAATTAAAATTACACTAACTTGCCTTTTATTTAATTTGACAGATGATGTTTCAATTGTCCAGGATACTTTGAGTCTAGTTTTATCTTACTAGGTTTTAGCAGATAGATGCATTCAGTTTTGGTCTTGCTTAATGAGCATGCCCTTAATCCTATCATGTAAGATAAAGTCACATATATTTCATTAGAGATCCATTTTGGCCTATGTATTTATCAGGTGTTTTGACAAGCACGATGTTATATTAAAATATTGGGAAGTCCTCAAGAGACATTGCTCCTCTCCCTGTGTCACACTACTCTGAAAATTGCCGAAAACTAGAACATTTCTATATTTAAAAATGGTGTTTACTTCCCTTCCTTTTTCCCTTCCTTTTTCCCTTCCCACAAGTGTGGGACTTGTGAATCTATTCATTTCAGCACAAGTCCCCTTTGCTTCTGTCCAACATTGACCACTGTTTGCCTTGGTATAATTGTGTATGAGAATCACAATGACCTCTGACATGAATGATATTACAGAGGTAATTGCCTCTGAATGGGTATGGATATAACTTGGTATGTACAAATCACCTTTGAGACATTAAGGAATGCCAAGGCGTGCAGGGATGTGACAGAAGGTAGATCTGGTGGCCATGGATCCCTTGAGGCTGGATAGCCCTACTAGTGGGGGAGTCGGGGAGTCTTTGCTTGTTCCCCTCTCATAGAAGGTGCCCCTCCCAAATTTTTCCAACCCCCCTTGGGAAACTTTTAATCTTTTTTTTTTACCTGACAGTATATGTTAACTGGTTTTAGGTTAATTTTTATTTTCTATTTTTATTTTTATTTTGAGATGAGTCTTGCTCTGTTGCCAGGCTGGAGTGCAGTGGCACAATCTTGGCTCACTGCAACCACCTCCTCGTGGGTTCAAGTGACTCTCCTGCCTCAGCCTCCCAAGTAACTGGGACTGCAGTCATGCACCACCACACCTGGCTAATTTTTGTATTTTTAATAGAGACAGGGTTTCACCATGTTGGCCAGGCTGATCTCAAACTCCTGATCTCAAGTGATCCACCTGCCTCAGCCACCCAAAGTGCTGGGATTACAGGCCTGAGCCACTGTGCCTGGCCAATTTTCTTTAAATTTCTGAATCAATATATTAAAGATTATATTTAGGGTTTTTTTTCCTTGATTTTTTGAGACAGGGTCTCACTCTGTTGTCCAGGCTGGAGTGCAGTGGCATGATCTCGGCTCACGGCAACCTCCGCCTCCTGTATTCAAGTGATTCTCCTGTCTCAGCCTCCCCAGTAGCTGGAATTACAGGTGCGTGCCACCACACCCAGCTAATTTTTGTATTTTTAGTAGAGACGGGATTTGAGGATGTTGGCCAAGCTGGCCTTGAACTCCTGACCTTAAGGAATCCACCCTCCTCGGCCTCCCAAAGTACTGGGATTATAGGTGTGAGCCACTGCACCTGGCCAGTTTAGGGGCTTATTTTTAATACAAGTTTAAATAATGGATAATTATTTACTTCCCCCATCTAACAGACTCACATCTTTCTTAAATTTACTTTAAATTGTGATGGAAAACATGATTTGGAAAATATAAAATAGATTGATTACATTATGAAAATGAAATCACATATTAAAACATCAAAACAGCCAAGTCAGAAAGGTAGGCTCTCTAGTTTAACTGTAAAATAGAGCCACCAGTCTACATGCTCTCTAAATTCTCAACTATATGTTCCTTGAAGGTGGTCATTTCCAGGGCCTGGCAAGGCCCCCATCCTGGTGAAGGCTCCCTTCAACTCCTGTTCTCTGCTCCTAACTCCAGTACCTCACCCCCACCCCTACCTGATTGTTCTTCCTCTGTGCTTGCTACAACTGCCCTTTCTCACATTCCCACACTCCCTTTCTCCATTCTCCTCTCCCTCCCAGCCCCCTCTCTCTGGCAAGCACTTGCTTTTTGTTACTTCTGCTGGGACCCATCTTCATTTCTCACTCTCTAGGCGGTGGCGCCCTGTTCCCATGGCTTTCAGTATATAGCAGAGACTTGTATCTAATTTACCTGTTTTTCTTAACACTGTGTGGTATATCTTTTTATATCACTGCATGATGACATTGACACTAAATTTCCAGAGAAAAGGTTCATTTTCTTTCAGGATTTCGTCCAAATTCTAAGGAATCAAGTGAAATTTTCAGTTTTGAATTTTATTGCATATATTACCTTACAGAATAAATCATGACAAATTGAAGGACTCAAATTTTACTACGATTTATTTCTTGACTTTTTTTTTCTCTCTAGAGGTAGGGGGATGATGTGGGGAGCATTACACTTGATTTTAAAGTAAAATTTATAAGGAGTACACGATTCTTTGGCCAAGGCTGGGCAAGGTGGCTTATGCTTGTAATCCTAGCACTTTGGATTACCTGAGCCCAGGAGTTTGAGACCAGCCTGGGCAACATGGAGAAACCCTGTCTCTACCAAAAATACGAAAATTAGCCAGTCTTAATGACCTAGTCTCAAAATAAATAAGTAGAGAAAAATATTCAAAAAAATCCCAAAGGACCATAAACAAAAATATTGATAAACAAGCCACAACACACAAGTTATTATATGTTAATTACTCATCCCTGGGATGTTAAACTAGTTATTGCTAATCTGTTAAAAGAGCTAACAGCAAATAGTATGTAAAAGCAGGCATCCCTTTCAATTCAACAAATATCTTGAGTCTCTACTGGAAAACCAGTTGAAATGTGAAGTTAAACTCCTGTCAGGGAACTTGCAGGGTGACTCAGCCTCAGCCTCGGCCCCTTAGCTGGTGTGTGGTTAGAGAAGCTCTATGTCAAGGCTTCTGAACTTCATGCAGGAAAGTTTGTGTGATTCTGCAGAAAGCAATGCCTTGCCGCACACAGGTCCTGCACTAGGGCTTCGATTTTTCCAAAAGATACGGCTTGCTTCATCCAATACTGTTTCAGGAAAATGGAGGTTCCTCCTCCGCACCCCAAGCCAAGGCCAATTTCGCGGGACCCTCAAGGCTTGCTACTGCAGATCAGATTCGTCCAATTTATTGGAAAAACGTATGAGAAGAGAAAATCAAGGCAGCTAAACACTTGCCCCGGAAGGTCCTGGCTTTTGCCGTTCTCCTCAACAGCTGTGTAGAGGGGAGGCCTGGGTGAGAGCCCCAGAGTCACACTGCTTCATATGAATTCCAGGACTTGTTGTTTCCTTGCGAGGTCACTAGCTCAAGTCACTTAACCTCTGTGCTTCACTGTCCTTACCATACAAAGTATGAAAACTGACAGCACCTACAGTAAAGAGGTATGTTAGGAGGATTAAATGTGTTGCTCTTTGGAAAGTGCTTAGAGCAGTGTTTGGCACATTTCAACAGTTAGGTGGTTTCAGAGGAAATGCAAGCTGCAGACTGGTGACCGCCCTCAGATGGTGTCCTCCCTCATTGTTGTCTTAGTAAAGATGTGTTCCTGTTAGCAAGCTCACTCAGTACTCTATAGCTTATGTTGTAGTTCCATCATAGTGCAGCTAGCTCATCTTGCCAGGGGTGTTCAGAACTTAATCTCTTTGAAAGTTGTCCTTGGTGGAAATAAAAACATTATCTCCTTTTTACTCTTGTTGGAAACTCAAGTTTGCTGCGGGGGGAAGGGTGGCAGGGTGTGAGGTATTTCAGGTGCAGTATTAATATTATGTCTTATGAAATAGCATCAGCCAACACGAACACACTCAGGAATTATATCTCTCAAAAGACAGAAGGCAAAAGGGAGGGACTAAAATCTACCTTGCATGTTAAGTAAAAGCATTAACATTCTAGTGAGATGACAAAGTTTTGATAGCGATTATCTAAAGCGAAAGAAAAGAATCTGCCTGGTAGTAAAGTTGGGTTTTTTTGGTTTGGTTTTGTTTTTTTTTTGAGACTGAGTCTTCCTCTATCCCCCAGGCTGGACCGCAATGGCACAATTTCGGCTCACTGAAACCTTCGCCTCCCAGGTTCAAGCAATTCTCCTGCCTCAGCCTCCTGAGTAGCTGAAGTTGCAGGCACCTGCCACCATGCCTGGCTAATTTTTGTATTTTTAGTAGAGACGGGGTTTCACCATGTTGGCGAGGCTGATCTCGAACTCCTGACCTCAACTGATCCGTCTGCCTCAGCCTCCCGAAGTGTTGGGATTACAGGCATGAGCCACCGCGCCTGGTCTAAAGTTGTTTTTTTAAGTAAACTTTTTAACATGTCAGCACTAAAAGGCCCAAAATAATTAAGAATTCTGAGTTTGTGTGGTGTATCCACAGAATGATTCAGGACAAATACTTCCCTATAGCATTCCACCTCCTCCCCTAAAACAGTGAATATACTGAGAATATGTGAACTCCAGAGGGCTTGTATTAGTCCGTAAAGAAATACCTGAGGCTGGGTGATGTATGAAGAAAAGAGGTTGAATTGGCTCACAGTTCTGGAAGCTGTATAGGAAGCATGATGCCTGCATCTGCTCAGCTTCTGGGGAGGCCTCAGGAAACTTACAGTCATGGAGGGAGGTAGAGGGGGAGCAGGAAGGCTTCTTGCATGGCAGGAGCAAGACAGAGTGAGGTGCGAGGTGTTGCACACTTTCAAACAACCAGGTCTTGTGAGAACTCAGTATCACAGGAATAGCACCCACATGATCCAGCCACCTCCCACCAGGCCCTGCCTCCAGCATTGGGTGCTACAGTTCAACCTGAGATTTGGTGAAGTCACAGATCCAAACCATATCAGGGATCTATTGTATTTGAAGGATTTAGCCTTTAATTTACGGGCAGTGCAAAACCATTAGTGATTTCTAAGCGTGTAAGTCACATGTACAGGTTTGTGTTTTATAAAGGAAACTCAGGAAATAAGTAGGGAGACATCAGAAGCAGACAGGTCATTCGAGAGGCTGTGGGATTAATTTGTGCAAGAGCTGGTAAGGACCGAGTATGTGGTAGAAACGGGAGTCAGAAGGATTGGATGGATCTGAGAAACGTTTTAGGGATTCAAAGTTGATAGACTTTTTTTTTTTTTTTTTTTTGAGACGAAGTCCTGCTCTGTCACCCATGCTGGAGTGCAGTGGCACGTTCTCGGCTCACTGCAACCTCCACCCCCCAGTTTCAAACATCCTCCCAGGCCTCAGCCTCCCAAGTAGCTGGGATTACAAGCATGTGCCACCATGCCGACTAATTTTTGTATTTTTTAGTAGAGATGGGGTTTGACCATGTTGGCCAGGCTGGCCTCGAACTCCTGACCTCAGGCGATCCACCTGCCTCCCAAAGTGCTGGGATTATAGGCGTGAGTCACCACACCCGGCTAAAGTTGATAGATTTTAAACACTGACTAGATGCAGCAGGTTTGGGAAAGTGAGGAGGCAGAGGTCAAGGATGAAGTTGAGGTTTCTAGCTCCAGCAAGTCAGTGGGCGAGGTGAGGGGTCATCAACATACCAATAACAGAAAGAAGGGTTGAAGAAAAGAAATTTAGGTTTGCGTTTAATATGTATTAGACAAGAAAATATTAGATATGAAGGCAGTTCAGCCTAATATACATGTTTAGATAAGTCAACACTAGATTCTAATACAGCATTTTAAATAACTGCTTGCTTTTTATTTAGCCTTTCAAATAGATGTAAACTGATAAATTTTTAAATCCAAATTGAAAGAAAGTGGAGAGAAAAATAGGAAATCATGAGGTCTGTGTCATGTTTATAAAAAAAAACCCAGAGAATCCCAAAAAGATACCAAAAAAATTTAAGCTATCATCATAATTATTCCTAAAATGTAATTGGAAGGGGAAACAGAAAGGATAACTTGCTGTTTGGGCTTTTTTTTTTTTTTGGACAGAGTCACTCTTGCCCAGTCTGGAGTGCAGTGGTGCGATCCCAGCTCACTGCAACCTCTGCCTCCCAGGTTCAAGCGATTCTCCTGTCACCACATCTGGCTAATTTTTTTTTTTTTTTTTTTTTTTTTTTTTTTGTAGAGATGGGGTTTTGCCATGTTAGCCAGTCTGGTCTCGAACTGCTGACCTCAGGTGATCCACTTGCCTTGGCCTCCCAAAGTGTCGGGATTACAGGCCTGAGCCACCACACCTGGCCTGTTTAGACTTTTAAAATAATTTTCCCAAGATACTGACAATGTGGTGAAAAACCAAGACTGTATTTAATTACACTGAGAAAGAGCACATGTCAAACATTTTTATGGGCCTGAAGAAAACCTCTCTGTTGTGCACAGTTGTACCCTATTTCCTCAGTTTCAGAATGCAGCCTCGTGCCTTTATGCACTGAATTGAGGCTAGGCAAAGTGCTACCACATGACTCTATGGTGAAATGGGCTCTGAAGTGGGAATCGTCGCTCTGCCCATAGGAAGGAGCAAGAAACATGGGAAAAGGCAGAAGAAAAGAAAAATTGGCCACAGGGTTTAGATGAGGTGCTGGCACCATCTGTGCTGGTCAGGGTTCCCATTTGAACTCCTGAGTCATGAAAAAGATTTACATATTATTTACATAAAGATAACAGTATTATTCTTATTGTAAAACTAATGGAACTGTTCGTAGAAGAATGCCGCAATCCTGATAACCCAACATATCTGACTCTTCTAGATTTTGTCCATGTGCTGATTATTTCACTAGATATAATAGTATAATACAGTTAGCTTCCCATATTCATGGGTTCTGCATTCTTAGATTCAATCAACAGCAGATTGGAAATATTTGGAGGGGGCAGGGCGCAGTGGCTCACGCCTGTAATCCCAGAACCTTGGGAGGCCAAGGTGGGCAGATCACCTGAGGTCAGGAGTTCAAGACCAGCCTGGCCAACACAGTGAAACCCTGTCTCTACTAAAAATACAAAAAAAATTAGCTGGACGTGGTGGCGGGCGCCTGTAGTCCCAGCTACTCGGGAGGCTGAGGCAGGAGAATGGCGTGAACCCAGGAGGCGGAGCTTGCAGTGAGCCAAGATCACGCCACTGCACTCCAGCCTGGGCGACACAGCGAGACTGTCTCAAAAAAAAAAAAAAAACTTGGAAAAATTCCATCTGTTCTGAATATATACAGACTTTTTTCTTCTTGTCATTATTCTCTAAATGAGAAAGTATAACAACTTTGCATAGCATTAGCTACATCATATTAGGTATCATACATAATCTAGAGATGGCTTAAAGTATACAGGAGGATGTGCTTAGCTTATATACAAATACTGTGCTATTTTATATAAGCGACTTGGGCATCCGTGGAGTTTGGTATTGGCAGAGGTCCTGGAACCAGTCCTCCATGGATGCCAGGAATGACTGTAATGACTGCTAACATGTACTGAATGCTTTCTAAGCACTATACGTGAATTACCACATTTAGACCTCAAACCAACCCTTTCTGGTGGGTCTCATCACACTCCAGGTGAGATTTGAGGTCCAGAGAGGAGCTTGCCCAGGATTCAAACCTTGTGAGTCTCCATCATCACAGTGTAGATACAAGTCTGTGTTGCTTTTTTTACTTTATTTTGTAATTTTAATTTTCATTCTAATCTGTGATTTCTTTTTTCTTAGTTTAGCGTGAGTATAATGTAATTTATTCAAGTACCGCACTTTTATTGAGGTGGTTTCCAGTTAATTTACTACTTTCTATGGAGCAATAAGCATTTTTATTTTTCGATTTAAAGAAAAATTTATGGCTGTTGAACTGCTAGGTCAAGAAGGGCCAACATTGTTATGGTTTTTGATAGGCATTGTCTTGTGGTTTAATCAACAAAGGGTCATAACAAGGCATGAGCATCCATGAGGACAGGTGAGCCTGTTTACTGCTACCTCAGTGGCATTGGACCTTCTTTTTAAACTTTTAGTTCCTTTTCATTTATTTTATTAGTGATATTAATGTTGTTCCCTGTTAATTTTGTGTTTAATGTCCATTAATTGTTAATTTGGAATTTTATTATTCTCAATTTGTTTTTCTGTACCTATTTCTCATAGCCTGAATCACTTCTCTGGAAAATTGAGATGTATGGAACTCCTTTCTTCAGGGGTGCCCCTAAATTAGGCATTAGTAGAGCTCTTAAAAAGTTTCTCATCCCAGCCGGGCACGGTGGCTCACGCCTGTAATCCCAGCACTTTGGCAGGCCGAGACGGGCGGATCACAAGGTCAGGAGATCGAGACCATCCTGGCTAACACGGTGAAACCCTGTCTCTACTAAAAATACAAAAAATTAGCCGGGCGTGGTGGCGGGCACCTGTAGTCCCAGCTACTCTGGAGGCTGAGGCAGGAGAATGGCATGAACCCGGGAGGCGGAGCTTGCAGTGAGCCGAGATCGCGCCACTGCCCTCCAGCCTGGGCGACACAGCGAGACTCCATCTCAAAAAAAAAAAAAAAAAAGTTTCTCATCTGTAAATTAGATGATGATAGAGGACTGTAAAGGATAAAACTAACTTTGCTGGAAATCAAGTAGCCTCCTTGGTGGAGGCTAAACTATTCCTGGAAGCTTTTGAGTTGATGTGGTTTTAAAGGAAGCAAATATTATGAGCTACCTAGCATCAGCCTTAGAATTGTGTCCTCATGTGTTGGTTTAGTAAAGATAACCCTCCTGTCTCTAAACTTATTGGTGGAAATTAAACTGAAGAGAAAATTCAGCCCTATCTGATGCTGTCCACGTAAACCTGGTAATAGTGGAGTGATTTTGGTTGTATGCACTTAAGAGCTGACACTTAATTTGAAGATGTTGGCAGCATACTGCTGTCAGTTAACGTGCCTTATGAAAATAGAATTGAAGAACTGCTACACAGGCAGATAGACAATACCAGGGTCAACAGAATAACAAATTTCCAGCCGAACTCAAATCTGAAGTGGTGCTAGTCCCTTCTGATGGACTAGCACCACCAGTGGGACCTGGGTGCCCTGACATTGTTCAGCGGTGGAGGCATTTCATCTCTGTTATGTGTTTCTCACGGAGCAGCTAGTGGAAGTTTCTAGTAAAATGTATATTCATCTAACAAGTCTCAGGCCTATTCATTGTGGCTGGCTCCCTAGGGGTGCCATGTGGTTCCAGACTTTGAAAGCTGTGATTGTGAACCTTAAATCTTAGTTCAGACACATGTCAGGTGAAGGCCTCTGGTTTGCTTGAAAGTTATTTTTGTTTTTTCATACAAAGCTGGTTGCTAGGATAATAGTGTAATTCATTAGGATAAGTGATAGGACAGTTCCCAAATTATTCTGTTTGCTTGTTTCTAGGTAGGGTTCTTTATTGAAGTAATAAAAATATACTAATGCTTTGAAAGGGCAACCCCTCAAAAATGAAATGTATTTGTTTGCTGATATAAGACTTTGTGTCTCCCTCCTCTTCAGAGAGCAGGCCTGGGCATTTTAATCCACTATTATTTGTGAAAAGCACATCGATTTAAAACCAGCTCACCTGTCACCTCATTCCCCAGGCAGCAAGTGCTGCCCAGCTGCACTCCCATTTTACCTGTTACACCACTTAGCACCCATGGGTCAAATCCCCCAAGTCACTCCAATAGTGGCAGGTCTGAGTGCCTCCTCACTGAGGGTAGGACAGACCTCTGAGACCTTACTGACTCAGCCTTCCCTTTGCAGGTTACACAGACCCAACAGTATTCAGAGCCTATGCCTCCCAGCACTTATGCAAATGCCCAGCTAAGCTGGAGCTGCTCTTGGGGTGACTACCAGCTTATCTGATTGTCGTCCTCACCAGATAGGCTCCCCAAGGGCTGAGTTGGCCCCAGAGCCCACCCTAATGCCTGGCATGGGGGGTGATCAGTGCAGGGTAAATTTGTGACTGACAGGTTCTTTAAGAGACACGTAGAAGCAATGTAACCTCCAGTGGGAAGAGGTGGGCCTTTGGATGCCATTTAAATATGTATGTTTAAAAGTATGTAATATTGAGCTGGGCATGGTGGCTCACACCTGTAATCCTGGCACTGTGGGAGGCCGAGGCAGGCGGACCACCTGAGGTCAGGAGTTTGAGACTAGCCTGGCCAACGTGGGGAAACCCCATCTCTACTAAAAATACAGAAGTTAGCTGGGCATGGTGGTGGGCACCTGTAATCCCAACTGCTGGGGAGGCTGAGGCGGGAGAATCGCTTGAACCGGGAGGTGGAGGTTGCAGTGAGCTGAGATCGCGCCATTGCACTCCAGCCTGGGTGACAAGAGCGAAACTCCATCTCAAAAAAAAAAAAAAAAAGTATGTAATATTGGAAATAATTTGTGAATATGCTGGTCAGAATTTTAATCTACGTATAAAAATTTAAGGAGATGTTAAAATGTGTTTTGGTAGTGAGACTGATTTTTGTTTTCCTGTTATAGTTTTGGGGAAAAAAATGATGAGAGATGGATGACCAGCAGCATTCTTAATTTCTTGTCCTTGTGGTTCTTTGTAAGGCAGAGGAACAGGTTTTGCCTTCATTATAGAGGGCATCTGTATGAGGCTTTGTTGTTCATGAGTTTCAGTGTATGTCTCTGGGGACAAAAATGTGAGTTGCCACTGGGTGAATGTAGTGCCACCTGAATGTTGAAAAACACAACTCCTGAATCACCACCAAACCTGTTCTTCCTCCAGGGTCTCCCAAGAGAACAGGTTTGGTGGGGATTCAGGAGTTGTATTTTGTTCATGTTAAGTCTGAGATGCCTCCTAGACATTGAAATGCACAATGACCATTTCAGAATGAAGGAATTTCCAGTGGATAGTTTTTAGCAGGTAAAAGCAGCCCCACCTTATGTTCAGTGAGCACTTGTGTAAGTGCTGGGAGGCATGGTCTATGGATACTGTGAGGTCTGTGTAAGTGTGGAGAAGCTACACCTAACTCGGCCAAAGGGAGGGCTGAGTCAGTAAGGCCTCAGAGGCCTGCCCTCCCCATGTGGCACTTGGACCTGCCACTACTAGAGTGACTTGGGGGGTTTGAAGCGTGAGTGGCAGGGGAAATAGGCACATGTCAAGAACCACACTCTGCTGCTTTGCCAGTCTCCTCCACCATGCCCTGTGAAACTCACAGTCCACCAAGAGCACTCTCTTAGTTCTCTGCTCTGAACAACCACTTTGCCTGGCTTTCTCAGTAACACCATCTACCGCTACCCCCGCCCCCACCCCACACTCTCCCAGGCAGAAGCAGAGTCATTAGTATTTAGCCCTCTCACTGTGGGCCAAGTGACAACTTGTTCCTTCACTAGGGTACATCAGGACAGGGATAAGCGTTAAGCATCCCTGGTAGAGACCTGAGGAACATTGTGCAAGGCGGCCGGGGTTGTTGATAGTATCTGTATCAACTACTAATGTTTTAGTTTCGCCTCCTGGCAGGGCGAGGGTTTTAGCAGTGCCACAGAAACCGTTCTTCATTGAAGCAAATCATCTCCCAATAATGGAATCTCACTAACTTGCTGACCCAGCATTCTGTTCTCTCAGACCTACCTCATCCCTTCCCACCTTTGGAAAAAAGCTCCATTTAAGGTGAATATGCCAACAAAAAATCTTGTTGCTCAGCTCCAGAAGATTCTCTGTTTAAGATCTTCCAAATTAGCTGTAGAGAACCCCAGGAAATGATCCAGCCACATAAAGACTCACTTTTCCCACGGACCCCCAAGGAGCTCTGAAACCACCAGCAAACACCCAGTTGTTGCCTTTAGCTCCTTAATTTGACTTGGGAACTCTGAAATCCCTTAGTCATTGGTGTATTTTCAGACAATTTCAATAATCTGACCAGTCCCATCCTCTACTTGTTGCTTTTTTCTAATCTCACTCTTGAAAGAAAAGTCATGTGATAGAACCACCTTTTATTATACGACCACCACACTGCCCAGAGACAAGGCCCAAAGGAGAGCACAGAGGCTCTTGAATTTACTGGACGGTCTTTGTTGGCAAAGAGTCATAATTATAGAATCTTTTAGGTCATATTTTATCCTTCATCCAGACATCTGTAGGAGTTGGCTTCTTGGGAAACTATAACATCACTTAGCCCCTAAGCTGAATTTCTTAACCTGTAAAATGGAGTTAATAACTGGACTGCCTTGTCAAGGTGTTGGATAAATGAAATCTGTCCTAACAATAGACACTTAAATCTTGGGCCTGGGCATGGTGGCTCACATCTGTAATCCCATCACTTCAGGAGGCTGAGGTAGGAGGATTGCCTAAGCCCAGGAGTTTGAGACCAGCTTGGGCAACAAAGTGAGATGCCATCTCTACAAAAAATAAATCAGCCAAGTGCAGTGGTATGCACCTGTGGTCCCAGCTACTAAGGAAGTAGAGGCAAGAGGATTCCTCTAGCCCAGGAATTTGAGGTTGCAGTGAGCTCTGATTGTTCCACTATGAGTACAGTGGCACAATCAAAGCTCACTGCAACCTCAAACTCTTTGGCTTGATGAATGAGTGACAGAGCGAGACCCTATCTCAAAAAAAAAAAAAAGTGTAGGTGGAGGAGGAGGAGATGTATTGAGGAATTATGCAGGATTTCTAAACTTGGTTATATTACTTCCAGATCTCTATTTTCTTCATGGAGACTCTTGGAGTTTCCTTTTCTTTTTTTCCTTTTTCCTTTTCTGTTGAAATGAGGATTGTACTCTTGCTGAGTATCTTCCTAATCTGGTAGGAATCTTCTGAAACAGAAATGTAGAAGAAAATTTCCATATCTATGAAGATGAATTGAACCAATAGTTCTAAAACTTTCTTGAGGATAAGAACCTGGGATGCTTCCCATTCAGTCTCTTCTGGGACAGTGTCCTCAGTCTGTGTTTTTTAACTCAAGCTTAGGACCATGCTGGTGCAGGTGGCAGAGTTACCCTTTGAGAAATGCAAAAATCAATTCTGAAAACTGAAGGTTCATAAGCTAGTCACAGATTTGGGTGCCAAAGTTTCCATTCTAGTGTGGACGTAGTTTTTCCTTCCAGTAGGTTTCCAGGAAGAAAAGGCCCCGGTTTGAGCATGACCTGTGGGAGTGACCTGAAATGAGATGTGAGACTATGTCTCATGTTGTTGCCAAATTAAATGACCCCACTGAAGCTTGGCTGAGAGGTGGCAGGGGCTGGCTTAGGATTTGAGGACCAGTGATCCTGTGGTAGTTTCATTGGCATTAGCTTCAGTATATCAAGATATCCTCGTTTTTGAAAGTTCCTTTCTGCTGGGACTCTGCTATTTCCTGAGCCTCCAGTGTCTGTCCTGTCAGGCTGCCCCTGCCTTTGAAAAACTTGCCACTTCCAGGAATAGGGTGGCTTTGCCTGACAATACCTCAACCTGTTTGAGAAGATGGACAGGCGAGAGCGTTGGTGAGATGGCAGTGGCTCCGGGTGCGAAAGAGGAAGGTAATATGAATGCAAGTAGGAAGAAAGGAGTAAAAATGAGAAAGACCTCCAGAGCCAAGTGTTTGGAACAGCTTTGGAGATTTCCGCTTCAGTATGATCTTCACAGATTTGAAATCTTGTTAAGGGAGTCCTATTGTGGCAGCAGGTTTGTCGTTTCTGCACTGAAACTGTAAACATTTCAGTATGGGTGCCTTGTGAATAAGCAGCTTCCAGTAATTGGCTTTCTGGAAGCACAGACCCAACTCCTGGGTAGGATGAGCCATGGAGAGAAGCAGCTTACACCAAGAGTCACTTCCCTGGAGTGTAATTTCTTTAAAAAGATGCCTTTTTAGATTCAGAAAGCACAAAATGTAATCATTTCTCTTTATAAGCTAATCCACTGTTTGAGCAAAGGGTAAAATAAAAATAAGCTAGTGCAAGACCTTGTGCAACTTCAATTTCAGTGTTTCAAACTATGTAAGTATTTCTCTCCCTGTACTTGAGAAAAAGCTCTTCTCTTTCTTCATC
Organism: Homo sapiens; assembly: GCF_000001405.40. Taxonomy (NCBI): domain Eukaryota; kingdom Metazoa; phylum Chordata; class Mammalia; order Primates; family Hominidae; genus Homo; species Homo sapiens. The sequence goes on along the minus strand of NT_187682.1, from coordinate 114,234 downwards.
ACAGGGCTGCCGCAGGTCTCCTACTCCTGCTGGGTTCAGCCTTTTCTCAGGTTCTCTGCTTTTATTCAGAGGAAAAGTGCTAATCAATGGCTTATACCTAGTCCTGGACTCTAGCACTCTGTGCCCTTCCTTTCTAATTTCTTAAAGGGCACAAGCTCCTTTTAACATAGGAAAAACTCCGTTAGACAAAATATATAAGGTTTTCAGCACAGTGGCAATTTTCTTTTGGGGCTATAAAAGAAACCCTCTGATTAGGATTATTTTAATGGAGTATATATAACTGTAGATAAGATAAAATGCAGGCTGGGTGCAGTGGCTCATGCCTGTAATCCCCGCACTTTGGGAGGCCGAGGAGGGTGGATCACCTTAGGTCAGGAGTTCGAGACCAGCCTGGCCAATATGGTGAAACCCCGTCTCTACTAAAAATACAAAAGTTAGCTGGACGTGATGGTGGGTGCCTGTAATCCAGCTACTTTAGAGGCTAAGGCAGGAGCATCACTTGAACCCGGGAGGTAGAGGTTTCAGTGAGCCAAGATCTCGTCACTGTACTCCAGCCTGGGCAACAGAGTGAGACTCCATCTAAAAAATAATAATAAAATGCAAACTGTGTTTCAGAAAAAAAGGCAAGTTTGGTTAGCACAAAGAAACATCATTAGTGACACCTGTGTTGGCCTTCTGAGTTATGAGACTTCATATTAACATTATAACAAACTACGTATACATTTTGTGCAAGAGAAAAATTACTAAACCAGGCCTTCTTGAGTAATGCTTTAATTTTCCAGAAGGGGGACATAGATTGGATTTAACTTAAATTGAGGCAAATGGATGTATTTTATTTGGGAAATTGTTTTTTGTTCCTCCTTTGTTTTGCCTCCATAAATTTATTAATGCAGAACCTGAAGGCTGTAAACCCAGGATAATTAGAGTTACAGTGTTACAGAACATTAAAAACCCACAGCAAGTGGCTGATATCTGCCTACCATATCTGCAGTTGAAGTTCATACCATGTGTGATAATTACGAACTTTCTTTTTTGTGGGCACCTTGGTAGAAATTATTAGTATCACCTGCCATATTTTCACATGTTACTTAAACATCAATAAAGTGTACATAGTAAAGCAGATAGCTGAGGGTGGGGAATAAGTGGTTAAATACTGTGTCTGACCTGTAAAATACGCTCTAAATAGACAAAAGGAACCCCTTTGTGTGGCAGCATAGCTGGGTTTGGTTTAGTAGCAATAGTAGATTGTTAGCTTTAACTCCTCCTGGATGTCTGTGCTGCTGCCCATAGCCTTGCAGACAAGCACAGACGGCCTTTGTAGTTTCAAGGGACCATCCATTCCACATGGGACTAGAGAGTAACAAAATGACTAGGGATCAGTGCTGGTACTTCCTGGGAAGTATGTGCAGGGTGTGTGTGTGTGTGTGTGTCAGTCAAGGTCTTGCCCTGTCATCCAGGCTGGAATGCAGTGGTGTGATCATAGTTGGCTGCAGCCTTGACCTCATGGGCTTGAGCAGTCCTCCTGCCTCAGCCTCCTGAATAGCTGGGACTACAGGGAGTGCCAACACACCCAGCAAATTTAATTTTATTTTTTGTAGAGACAGGGCCTTTCTTTGTTGCCCAGGCTAATCTTGAACTCCTGGCCTCAGGCAGTCCTCCCACCTCAACCTCCCAAAGTGCTGGGATAACAGACATGGGCCACCTTACTTGGCCCTGTTCAGGTTATTTTGCCCTGATCAGTGTCTTTAAGTAGCAGAAGATACCCCCACCGTGCCCTTTTTTCCCAACTGGGTATTATCCCCAATGTATTGTTGAGAAAATCAAGACTTAAATTAACTTGCCTAGGCTCCTGTACCAGTGAGAGACAGGGCCAAGTATAAGTTTCTTTTAGCCCTGCTGCTATTCCAGATCAGCAGCTTCAGTGGACAGCTCCGCTCCAGTGAAAAACTCCGAGAACTTCCTCTCCGCCCCAGCTTTCTCTCTTTTCCTTATTTCTTGTCTTTGTTTTTAGACTGCCTAAATTTGAGGTAAAAATCAAAAAAGATTTCTGATAAGGAATATCTGAATATAAGGAAGGTACACAGAGGAATTGTCAGTTAAACTAACTGGAACAGTTTCTTTGACTAGATTTGTCGTTGTTGTCCTCTACTTTAGGAGAAGTAAAATGATACGGAAAAAAAGCTTGCTAGCAGGGATTTATTTTAAAAAGCAAGTTTTAGGCTATGTCCTGGGATCACTTTGATAAAGCCTAGTCTCTTCCTCGTGTCTTACAAGAATACTCTTAATACAGAATCATAACTCTAAGACAACGGAAAACAATCAGTTTACTCAAAACCCTGAGCTATTTACTAAAGCAGGAAGATAGCCTGTGTTCTATAAAAGGTTTCTCGTAGTTACCCATAAAATGTCATTTGGAATTAAACCCATTCCTGACCAGTTGAGATTTTGCTCTCAGTCCAAAACATTCTCTTCTGTAAATGGAATCTTTCTAGGAGAAAGTAGCATTTAGAGCAGGTGCCACGTGTGTGCTCACCTCATCAGAATCCTGCTGTGCTGGCATCCAGAGGGCTCCCTGTCCACTGTGCTGATTTACACTGCCACACACTCAGGCTCACTGCAACACATCTCACAGACCCCCTGGCCATGTGTCAGCATCAAGTCCTGTCGGTTTTACCTTCGAAGTCTATGCTGCCTCTTGTATGCATTTCCACCACCAGTACCCAAACTCTTCCATATCATCCCTAACCCAGCAACAGCCATTGTTGGCCCTGGGTTCCTGCATATCAGCTTCCCACCCTCTCAGAGTTGTGCTCCACTGTGTTGGTTCCCTACACCCTGCCTGCTTGTCCCTCCACAAAGCAGTTTGTTCCCCTTCCCCCCAGGTAGCTCTTACTCACTCTTTATGACTCAGGTCAAGCTACACTCCCTCAAGAATGCTTTCCTGACTTCCTTAACTAGGTTGGTGGCATTAAGTCTGCGCTCTGAAGTACTGTTTACATCACTGTTTAAATTTTGCTTTACCCCCAGATCATTCTGTGAGCTCCTGGAGGGTAGACACTAGGTGAACTTTTGGCTCCCCATTTCAGCCCCTGCACACAGGCATGCAATAAAAATTTGTAGAATGAATAAAAAGAAAAGATTATTATACTTCTGAAGTCGATACCATCAACTCCTAAGGGAACTTAAATATCAAAGAAAAGAGCCCTGAGAATAAAAGGCACCTTGATCACACAGTGTCTTACAACCTTTAGAGAAACCTGCATGTCAAGGGGAAAGACCAGCCTGATCAAGTTCTTATTAATTTTCATCCAACCCATGTTTCTACTTTCTGGACATGCAGTTTTATGCTGTGGAATCAGGATTGACACATTAATAAGGCAAATTAAAAGTCCCAGAGAACAGCTCGTTAGGAAGTCAAACTGCCTTCTTCACATTCAGTAGAATAACTTACACTTTATGATTCTGAAGAAGCATGGGTCTGGTGTTTTTACTTTCGTTAGCCAAGGGTTACCTTCACATTATTGCAGAGGTCCCTTCCTCATAACACAGCTCACGGGTGAGAATCTGGATTTTTTTTTTTTTTTTTTTTTTTTTTTGAGACGGAGTTTCACTCTTGTTGCCCAGGCTGGAGTACAATGGCATGATCTCGCTCACTGCAACCTCCACCTCCCAGGTTCAAACGATTCTCCTGCCTCAGCCTCCCGAGTAGCTGGGATTACAGCCATGCACCACCACACCCAGCTAATTTTTGTATTTTTAGTAGAGACAGGGTTTCACTGTGTTGGCCAGCCTGGTCTCAAACTCGTGACCTCAGGTGATCCGCCTGCCTCGGCCTCACAAAGTGCTGGAATTACAGGCGTGAGCCACCATGCCCGGCCTGAGAATCTGGATTTTTTAAAGCAACAATGGCATAAAAAGAGGTATGTGACAGAATCTTCTGGAGAAAAGACCTCCTTCCCCAGCTGCGTCTTAGACCTACTAACTTCTCATTATTTGTTTGCTCAGTGTTAAAATGAGTAAGTCCATTGTATAAAGCTGTGTGTATTCTGAATATGTTCTTTATCTGCTCAAGATTGTGGCTAATTTCTGACATCCTCTGTTTGGTAGATGAAGTACAGAAAGACAAAGAAGGACATTCTTAATGAAGGAGAAAAGTCCTTTAATCCCAACCTTTCTAACCTGATGGAAAACATCATAACTTTACTATAAACTGCAGACAGGCTGGTCCCACCTTATGGGCACAAAGACATCGGAAGGGAAATAAGGGAACGGGCTTTCTTTGTGGATCAAAACAGAATCCAAGGATGTAGCTGTTAGATGCCGCCAAAACGGCCACACTCAAGAGATTTGGACCTGGGTCAGGCTTTCTGTGCGTTTTGTACCACTTCTGGGGCCAGCTACCACCCAACCACCACTCAGCCACAGAGACACTTATTACAGGTTTATAATTTGACTTGAAAGGTTTTCCCAAAGAAACAAATACTTGTCAGGATCTGTAGCAGAGCCATGTTTTGATTGGGGCTTTTATGGGAGGAGAATGGTGATCTAAATATATAATTTTATTTCAAATTATGCTTGAAAGATGATCAGATTAAAGAAAGTTTGTGTGAGTGTTTTCATGGGCTTGTATTGGAGGGAAGCAGATGACTGGGTCCCAGGAGGCAGAGAAGATGAACTATTGGGCCCTAAGTGTGTTGTAAGGAATAGTACCATCTGTTGGACCTAAGATCCACATGGCAGCAGAGGGTCCAGAATCAGCCACAGCAGATTATTCTAGATTAATGTGAGTAGGGACAGGTTTGGAGAAGTATGGCTAGGAGCACCTGGCAGGTGACTCTGATGCAGGCAGCAAAGGAGTCATTGGTTTCCAGGTCTGCTCTCCACATAACAGAGGGCACTGTCTGTAGAGTACAACAGGCAAGCCTGTGAGGCGGTTTTTCTCATTCTAGTTGTGCTCAATATGCCATTTTGGGGCAGTTTTCAATGCTTTCGAAATCCTGCTAGAATTTAATTTGTATGCAGTTGTGTGTCATTATTAGTCCCCATTTATTTAACATCTTTTCTTGTAATGCAAAATGCTTTAGAAAGCTTTAAAAATAGTTTTAGTTTGTATTGGTCCCAGATAGGAGAATTGAGAGGGGAGATACAATGAAAGTAATAGTAAATAGTAGCTAAGAAGTGAAGTGTCCAGAGACTTGGCCAAGAACTGACCTTCCACACCGTCGGAGATGAAACATTACTGAAACATACAGCAGCTAGACTTACCAAAAAAACGACCAGCAGCAGGTGTCCAGACCCATGCAGGGTCTGCTTGTTTAAGGCAGATTGTAGGAGAGAAATTACTTAACAAAAAATTAACTTTAAACTGTTTGTCTTAATTTAATAGACTGTACTTTGTATTATATCTGATTTTGATATCAGTAATTGCCAAAGTATGACAGAGATGAATGTATGTTTTATGTAATTTTTATTTAAAAGTTCTAATAATTACATAACTTTCTAGTTTGTAAAACACTTTTATGGTTATTTTACACAGCAGCTTTAGGCAGAAGGCAAAGCAAATACTGTTATCCCCATTTTACAGATGATAAAATTGACCTGGTGACTTTTGGCTTTCACACGTGTGCTGACACCCTCAGTTTTTTTCTCCAGTAGCCCTGTGCTGCATCATACCTGGACAGTATGCACATTAGACCAACCACATTTATTCTAAAAAGCTAGTCAAGCCTGGAACTTTTGTCTTAAGTACACACAATTAGCCCTTAGCCAGTGAGTGGCTGGCTGATGTTTCATACTGACATCATAATTGATTAAGTGTGTATTTAATGGATTCAGTTTCTGAAACTGGCACTTTTGCCGGAGCAGCTGTAGGACATAAGTGCAGATTCTAAATCCATGTACCATAACTTGAGTAGCACTGAGTAAATGGACCTGAGAAGAACTGGACAAGTCTCTGTCCCTCTGAGGTTGACTGGGAAGCCTTGGTGGTACTGGGCCGTGGTGCAGGTCCCAGAGGCTGGTGCCAGAGCCCATTCCCTCAGTCTTTGTGTTAATGGCAAGTTAAAGGTTCTCCAGCCAGTCTCATGAGCTTTTCATGAAGAAACGTAAGGAGATCGTCTAGCTCTAAGGAAGTAAGGACCAAAACACCTAGGGCTATGTATGTATTGCTTTGGCTAACACTTTGAAGTAGTCTTTAAGAAGCTTGATAGGATGCAGAGTTGCATCAAAGAAATGCTCACAGGGCCTTGAAGGGTAGCTCCTTGTATGTAGCCCATCTAGCTGCCACGTAGTTGGCATTGATAGCTGGGAGGACAGCGGCTTCCATCCTAGATGTAGGAGGCATAATTAAAAGGACAAAAAACTTTTTGCTGGTGGCCAAAAATGAACACATACCTTGTTCCACATTCTCCAAGCTCCACCAGCATCAGTTTTGTAACTCATTGAAGAGTATCCTCATTAGTTGTCTTCAGGCTCTCAAGTTTGTCAGACATTGCATTCATTCCATCAGCCCACATTTACAGTGCCTATGGTGTGCCAGTCCTTGGGGGGTGCAAGAACAAGTCTCACAGTTTAGGGGAGATGGACAAACATGAGTAAGTAAATATTGTGAGCATGAGCAGAAGTGTGTGCCATGCTGGATAAGAGCCGTCTTAGGCACAGTAGTGGAGGGTAATCTGCAAGGCTTGAACAAAACCAGTTGTCATCAGTGTGCTATAATACTACTGTGACCCAGTTGCTTTGGTGTTCTGAGGCTGCTCTGAGATGCTAATTAAACAGGATGATGATTCAGGTTGCTGTTATATCTCATAAGAAAGAGCCTTTCTGTGAATGAGCAGGCATCAGGCTTGGAGAAGGCTCCCTTAAAGCTTCCCTCAGATAAGGATTAAACAACGCTAGTTGACTCAGTCCTTGCAGTTTGCTACCTCAAGTCAGCGAGCCCTGCCTCTGAGACAGTGACAAAGTCTGGTGAAAGGTTCAAGCTCTGTATCTGGGCCACTTTCCGTTAAAACATGTCCCAAAACTAATAATACCTTTTATAATTTATTTCCCAAGTTTAGAGTATCAAAAAATGTGAGGTTCTTATTAGAGTTCTTTAAAAATAGTTTTTATTCCCTTCCATAATAAAAAATTTACTATTAAAAGATTTTGAAGTTTGGGCCATTCCTTATTTTTAAAATGTGTCTTAATTTAGAAATCATGCTTGGAGCCCCCAATGTGTCTCATTCTTCCTGGGGAGCAGTATTGTATGGACTTACCTCTGCTTGGAGTGAATGTAGTAACACTGTGGTCAAAAACAAAGGACATTTAGCTGTGCAGTGACTTTAATATATTATTTGTAGCATAGGAGGATGATAATGCAAATAGCTACTCCAGGTAAAAAGTATAGAATAAAAATTTAATTAGAAATTGTACTGGCCTGGGTATTGATTTTTGGGTAGAAGGGAAAACCTTACACATGGAAGATACTATAGATAAGTATTTATATTCTATCTTTGGCACCTGGCACCTAGAAAGTACTTTTCAAATGTTGGATAGTTGAGTGAATGAAGGGGGCTAACAGGCGTCATGGTATGGTATGAAGAAAGTTGAACTTGGGGTTCAGAAGAAAAAGAGGTAAAGTTCTAAGTTCTCTTACTAGCTATGTGATCTTTAGCAGGTCACTTTGCTTTAGCCTCTTGTTTCTTCTACAAGAAAAACAGATGTCGAAGACAGACCCAGAGTTCCTTCTTTATTGATCTCCTGATGTCACAATTTGCCTAGTGAAATTGTAGGTTTCACTAGGCAAATTGAGGGAGAAATCTGTTGCATTAAAGAACCTAAGGCCAGGTGCGGTGGCTGATGCCTGTAATCCCAGCACTTTGAGAGGCTGAGGTGGGCAGATCACCTGAGATCAGGAGTTCAAGACTAGCCTGGCCAACATGGTGAAACCTCATCTCTACTAAAAATACAAAGATTAGCTGGGCGTGGTGGCAGGTGCCTGTAATCCCATCTACTCGGGAGGCTGAGGCAGGGGAATCGCTTGAACCCGGGAGGTGGAGGTTGCGGTGAGCCGAGATCATGCCATTGCACTCCAGAGCGACAAGAGCGAAACTCCATCAAAAAAAAAAAAAAAGAACCTAAAAGGAAAATGAACAATCACTTGAGAGTCTTGGGAAATCCCCGTGTATTAGTTTTCTATCATTGTCATAACACCTTACCACAAACTTGTTAATACAGTTCTGCTTACAGTTCTGTAGGTTCAAAGTCCAACACAGGTGTCTTACTGGGCTGGAATTGAGGTGTGGGCTGGGCTTTGGAAAAGTCCAGAGTCTTAGGGGAGAACATGCTTCCTTGCCTTTTAAAAATTCTGCAGCTGCCGCCCTGTCCCTTCTCCCATCTTCCAGGCCAGCAGCATTGCACCTATGACCCTGCTGGCAAATCATCAGGTCTCCCTGAAGCTGACAACTGTAACTCCCTCTGGGGGGGAATCGTTTGCTTTTATGGGCCTGTGTGATTAGATTGGGCCCACCTGGATAACCTAGCATATTCTTCCCATCTCAAGGTCCTTGACTTAATCTCATCCACAAAGTTGATTTTGTATATATAAGATCACAGGTTCTTGGGATTCTGCCTACCATATCCCAAGATCTGATTGCTCTGTAGGAGACAGAACACTGAATGGCTCTCAGGAAACCAGTAATCCAGTAATCCTAGCTCACCCAGTCATTGTGTCTCTCTGGGTTTCTTTTTTCCGCATCTGAAAAGTTGGGGAGTTGAATTAGACCAGTGGTCCTCAAACTGCATTGTACATCAGAATAGCCTGGAGGACTTCTCACAACACAGATTTAGGTGGGGCTCAAAAGCGTGCATTTCTGCCAAGCACAGTGGCTCACGCCTGTAATCCCAGCACTTTGGGAAGCCAAGGCAGGTGGATCACTTGAGGTCAGAAGTTCAAGACCAGCCTGGCCAACATGTTGAAACCCCGTCTCTAGTAAAAAAACAAAAAGTTGCCAGGTGTGGTGGTTCATGCCTGTAATCCTAGCTACTTGGGAAGCTGAGGCACGAGAATCACTTGAACATGGGAGTCGGAGGTTGCAGTGAGCCAAGACTGTGCCACTGCACTCTAGCCTGGGTGACAGAACGAGACTCTGTCTCAAAAATAACCCAAAAAACAAAACTGCATTTCTGACAAGTCCCTGAGTGTTGCTGATGCTGCTGTTCCAGGGGACCACACTTCAAAAACCACTGAACTAAACTGTCTTTAAGGATCTTTCTCTAAGTCCCTAATACAGCCTGAGAGTCTTTCCCCTTTGGATGCAATGTTATAAATTAATCATAGTGGAGTTTGCACACTGCTTGCCAGGTTGTGGAGTTGAGGTAGGAAGCAAATGGACATTGTTCAGATCTAAGCTCCACGTCTTCTCTTTCCTCTTGTAAACCGGGATGGTGATGAGGCCTGCTGTGTGGTTGCTTTTCATGAGATGGTCTTTGTAGATTATCTAGCATATGTCTGACACATGGTCATCTTGGGTCACATTTACTTAGCACTTTTGACCCAGCCACTGTTTTAAGCCTGAATTAATTCATTTAACCCTTATGACATTTCTATGAGGTGAGTGCTATTATTAGTCCCACGTCTGTAGGTTGAGGAACAGAGGTTAGGAGTTTGGCCAAGAAGGCAGAGCTAGAAAGTGGAGCCACTTACCAGGCAGTTATTTAGGTTCCAGAGCATGCATACTTAACCCTTCTACAGCAGCACCCAAGTTTCCTGTAACAAGGCTAGAGGTGGCCTGGTCCTGGGTTTGGGTGATTTAGTGCTTGACAGTGTCATGGTAGGCCCAGGTCTCTCCATCTTGCCACTCTTCTGTCCTCAGCAGGCTGGCTTTGTCTTCAGGGCTGTCCCCTCATGGTGATACTGTGGCTGCCACAGATCCCACTGTCTAATCCTCACAGAGGCTGCGCAAGAAAAATTACCTGTTCCTCCCTCTTGTCTCTTTTTGAGAGGGTGAAACTTTCATGCTTGTAATCTTAGCACTTTTGGAGGCTGAGATGGGAGAATTGCTTGAGCCCAGGAGTTCAAGGACAGCCTGGGCAACATAGTGAGACCCTGTCTCTACAAAAACATTTTTTGAAAAAGCTGGATGTGGTAGCACACACCCTGTAGTCTCAGCTACTCGGGAGGCTGAGGTCAGGAGAATCACCTGAGCCTGGGAGGTAGAGACTGCAGTGAGCCATGATTGTGCCACTGCACTCCATCCTGGGTGACAGAGCAAGACATCGTCTCAAAATATATTAAAAAAAAAAAAAAAAAGGTTGGGGGGAGTGCAAAATGTTTTCAGAAGCCCTTTTTCCTGCAGACTTTCCTACCAGAAATGCTTGACCATACCCATTCCTAAATGGCCACCACTCACTGTGATTCATCCCCCAGGGTAGGGAGGGCCATATCTTCGGGCCTCTTGAGTAAGAAAGTGGCAGCAGGAGGCCAGATGCGATGAGGTCAGGAGTTTGAGACCAGCTTGGCCAATATGCAAAACCCCATCTCTACTAAAAATACAAAAATTAGCCTGGCGTGGTGGCATACGCCTGTAATCCCAGCTACTCAGGAGGCTGAGGCAGGAGAATGGCTTGAAACTGGGAGGCAGAGGTTGCAGTGAGCCAAGATTGCGCTACTGCACTCCAGCCTGGGCGACAAAGCAAGACTCCATCTCAAAAAAAGAAAGTGGCAGCAGACATGGCTGCAGGTTGGCCACCGATGGACTACCCACACTCCCTTCTCTGAAGTTGATAGTCCTTTTGATTCTGAGATGCTCTGTGGCACTGACAAAGGTCGACAGAGTCTAGGGCTACTAGAAATGCTGTGAACTTGTCCTTGGTTTACTCCAGACCAAATGATCTTTTCTCTCTTAACAAGGGTGCGAGGGCACATGATAAACATTTACTGATTATGGGCACCCAGAAGGACCTTGATCTTCTGAGAGCAGGGCAAAGCTTTTGAAGGACTAATCTCTTCCAGCCCTTGTTCCTACCTCTTTTGTCTCTGGAGGATGCCAGAGATGATCATCCAGAATCTCAGCTCTGACCTGGAACAAGTTATTTTCCCTTTGGTGTCTCAAGAGTTTCACGTGAAGCATTAGGAGTGCCTGCCAGGTGGAATAGTGCAGAGGGCTGGATGAGATCATTCAGTCTGAGCGTGGCGAGCGCTTGGGCTTTGCTGTTGCTGGCGTTAGTGTAGTTTTCCATCAGTATCTGTGTCGGGGGCCTGAGCCAGCTCAGTGTAATTGCTTAGGGAACACTTTTATTTTTCATAGAAGCAGGAACAAGTTTCTGTCTCTTCCAGCTAGTCTTGCTGGTTGTGTGCCTCTGCTATCTGAAGAGCCAGCATCCTTAGTAGGGTCACATGTGGTTGAGTTTTATGAATGTGTTTGTTGCTGATAGGACACATTTCTTACCTGACAGGATGAGCACTCACAGCAGCCACATCACAGGGCTGACAGAGATGTGCCCCACTTTAAGAAAACCTGACCATATAAGGAGGAGTGTCTCAATTACAAAATAATGTCTCACTTAGCCAGAAATTCATGGCAGGTTTTCTGGTGCATTTAAAATAAGATTCATGTATAAAAATACCATTTGCACACAGGAGCCCATATTTTCTGAAAAGGGAAATGTATTGGGCATTTGGGGTAAGTAGATCAAAAATAAAAATAAAATCTTCTTACAAATACAAGAACTAGAAACCAAATTCCACTTCTAATTCTAAAAGGTTTATATATAACTCTACTACCTTACCCTCTCTTACCCCAGATTTTCACAGCAGAAGTAAACAGGGAAGATCTGCAGGCCGCTCACGATAGCAGCAAGGAAATGCCTGGCATAGTGTGTGGGTGGGTGGATGGCGGGGGTACCAGAGGCAGGGCTGGGGACCCCACTCTGGCATGTCCTTTATGACATGGATTGCTCATCTCACCCTGCTGTATTGTTGATTTGAGAACATTTGTGAGGCTTGGTCTAAAACATTATTGCTGGATCCCTTCCCATGGTGTGGTCAGTGAATGGCATTTAGAAATTGACCAGCTCATCCTGCCACCACGGACTCCTCTAACCACAGAGACACGTGCTGAGGTCTAACAGATGGGGACCAGGGAAGGCCTGGAGGAGAGGGCCAAATCTGGGATACTGACATGCCTGACTTTTCCCTTCCTTTCAGAAATGTTCCCACTGCCAGGAGGCAGGCGCCACCTTGGGCTGCTACAACAAAGGCTGCTCCTTCCGATACCATTACCCGTGTGCCATTGATGCAGGTAAGAGGAGACCACAGACCCTTGTCCAGAGCATCCAAAGGATTAGGACATACAGTTTGATTCTCTCTGTTGTCGTTGTTTTTTTTCTTTTCTTTTCTTTTTTTTTTTTTTTTTTTTTGTCACTTCATAAAAAAACTTCCCACCCATTAGCAGCACTCATCTCCCTTCCCTTCCCTCCAGTCCCTGGCAACCACTATTCTGTTTTCTTTTTTAAATTTTTATGATTTTTTTTTCCCTTTAAGCTCTGTTGGACTCAATCCTTTCTATCTCTGTGGGCTTTGCTGTACATTTGGGTTACTTCCACTTTTTGACTGTTATGAATAATGCTGCTATAGAACATTCACATGCAAGCATTTGTGTGAACATGTTTTCAGTTCTCTTGGATGTGTACCTGGGAGTAGAATTGCTGGATCATATGGTAACTCTGTTTAACCTTTTAAGGAACTGTCAGACTGTTTTCCAAAATGGCTGCCCCATTTTACGTTCTCAGTGGCAGTGCATGAGTGTTCTCCTTTCCCCAGGTCCTCCCTGACACTTGCTGTCATATGTGTTTCTTTTTTTTTTTTTTTTTAATTGTAGCCAGCCCAGTGGGTATGAAATGTTATTTCATTGTGGTTTTTATTTGTATTTCCCTGATGGCTAATGTCGAGCATTTTTTTCTTGTGCCTATTGGCCATTTGTACATCTTCTTTGGAGAAATAGCTATTCACATCCTTTGCCCATTGTAAAATTGGGTTGTTTATCTTTTTAATGTCAAGTTTTAAGAATTATTTGTAGGCCGGGCGGGTGGATCATGGGGTCAGGAGTTCAAGACCAGCCTGGCTAAAATAGTGAAACCCCGTCTCTACTAAAACTACAAAAATTAGCCAGATGTGACGCGCACCTATAGTCCCAGCTACTCGGGAGTCTGAGGCAGGAGAATCACTTGAACCCGGGAGGCAGAGGTTGCGAGATCACGCCACTGCACTCCAGCCTGGGCAACAGAGTGAGACTCTGTCTCAAAAAAAAAAAAAAAAAAAAAAAGAATTATTTGTAATTCTGGATATGTGGTTTGCAAATGTTTTCTTCCATTCTCTGAGTTGTCTTTTTACTTTCTTTTCTTGATAGCATCACACAGGTAATTCACCATTGGACACCAACTGGGTGTCCTATAGTTTAGCTTGGTTCTGATACTAAGCAGAGTTAGTGCAGCCCCTACAGGTTAAGGGCTCAGTCCCACAAGACCGCTCCCCACTTCATATACCAATCTCAAGCCCTGTGTTATGACCTGTGTTTCTGAGTGATCAACTATAAACTGGGGTTCCCAAGACCGCTTCCTTGGGTTTGATTAATGTTTAACATGGCTCACAGAATTCACGGAAACACTTCACTTGTGTTTACCCATTATAAAGGATGCAGATGAACAGCCACATGAAAGAAACATAGGGCCAGATGTGTGGGCAGGGGCATGGAGCGTCCATGCTCTCTCCAGGGGCACCACCCCTGAGGCACCTTCATCTACTCAGCAGTCCAGAAGCCCTCTGAATCCAGTAGTTCACGGATTTTTTGGAGGCTTCATCATGTAGGCATAATCAATTATTAACTCAATCTTCACCCCCTCTGTCCTTCCTGGAGTGGGGTGGGTAGAGCTAACAGTTCCAAGCTGCTAATCACAGCTTCGTCTCTCTGGTGCCCAGCCCCCATCCAGGAACCACCAAGAGTAGCCTTAGAACAAAAAGTGCTCCTATCCAGGAAATTCCAAGGGTTTAGGAGCTCCATGTCAGGAACCAGGATCAAAAACCAAATATTAGAAGAAAAGATGCTCCTAGCACCCCTAATTGCTCAGGAATTTACACGGGTTTTAGGAGGTCTGTGCCAGGAATCAGGGATGAAGACTAAAATATGTATTTCTTACTCTAAATCACAGTACGTTGTATACATACAATAGAGTGTTGTATTTTCTTTGCTGAGATGATAGGGGGATGTTTTGCAGTGTGTTAACTGTTGAAAGAAGGGAAACATTTTGTTAAAGAAGTGCCATCCAATGAGTGACGCAGAAGACTTGAGTTTTGACTCAGAGCTTCGATAACCTGGGAAAATCACCTTTCTTACTCTAGACTTTTAGTCCCTTCAGTGGGTGTTTTCCCCAGTTACTTTTTTGGCGGCAAGGTGGGTGTTAATTTCAAGTTTATTAAGTTTTTTACTTTTCTTTTTGAGACGAAGTTTCGCTCTTATCGCCCAGGCTAAAGTACAATGGCATGATCTCAGCCCACTGCAACCTCTGCCTCCCAGATTCAAGTGATTCTCCTGCCACAGCCTCCCGAGTAGCTGGGACTACAGGCGCCCACCACCATGCCCGGCTAATTTTTGTATTTTTAGTAGAGACGGGGTTTTGCCATGTTGGCCAGGCTGGTTTCAAACTCCCGACCTCAGGTGATCCACCCACCTCAGCCTCCCAAAGTGCTGGGATTACAGACGTGAGCCACCGCGCCCAGCGTTTTTTACTTTTTTTAATGGACAGTAATTGTAGATATGGGGTGCTCAGTAATGTTTCAATATATATATAAAATGATCAGACCTAGGTAATTAGCAAATCCATCGTCTCAAACAACATGTCTGTGTTGGGAACATTTGGTATCTTCTAGTCATTTGAAACTATACAATATAATGTTGTTAACTGTGGTTATCCTACAGTGATACAGAATACTAGAACTTATTTCTCCCATCTAGATGTAATTTTGTATTCTTTAACAAATCTCTACTTATCTCTTCCTTTCCTTTCCCCTTCCTGGCCTCTAGTATCCTCTGTTCTACTTTTTAATACTTCCGTAAGATCAGCTTTTTAAATTTCCACATGAGCGAGAACATGCAGCTTTTAACTTTCCGTGCCTGGCTTATTTCACTTGACATAATGTCCTCTAGTTACTTGAGCATTAGATGTATCTAAGACCATCACCCAGGCAGCCCCCATAATGCCTGTGGTCACGTTTGAGGAAAAGTGGTGAGAGAAGGCAGCAAGTAGCATGGTGCTTGTCATGTGCATGCCCCCTCTCTGTGCTTCCCCAGGAGAGAAGCAGGGCTGTCCACGGAGGCAGCCACGCTGTCCATAGGAGGCGGGGTTTGATTTGAATTTGATGGGAAGGGGAAGAGGGCGTGGCTGACTGCATGATGGGAACAGGCGTGAGGCATAACATACACAGAGCAGGGCCAACAGACTTGGATCAGGTCTCAGAATTCATCCTGCCCCCCCCTTCCTTCCAGCGCAGCAGTTGCTTGCAGCTCCTGACTTTTGTTTAAGCATATGTCTCCATTCCTTTCACATCCTTCTTGCCCTTACCTCCCCCTTCCCTCTTTTCTCTCCAAGCTTCTGTAGGAGAAACAGTTAAAAAGAACAAGAGAGGTAGAGAAGATAATGCTGATGCCAGTTAGACTATTACAAAAGTGTGTGTATTCACACGTACATGTGGACTGAAAGGCAGCTTGATGGCCAAGGCACTATTTGATCAACGGAAAGATAGGGAATCAGAAACAGAGTGCCAGGTGTGGTGGCTCACACCTGTAATCCCAGCACTTTCGGAGGCTGAGGTGGGAGGATTGCTTGAGCCCAGGAGTTCGAGACCAGCCTGGCCAACATGGTGAAACCCTGTCTCTACAAAAAATACAAAAAATTAGCCAGGCGTGGTGGCCCTTGTCTGTAGTCCCAGCTACCCAGGGAGGCTGAGATGGAAGGACCCAGGAGGGGCTGCATGACCCTCAGTTGGGCCACTGCACTCCAGCCTGGGCAACAGAGTGAGACCCTATCTCAAAACAAAAATGAAGTAGCCTTGAAATGTCAGTTCAGGGAGTTTGGGTTTTAGTCCATCCCTTCTGTTCTCTTTTTTCCTCCAAATGTTTTCATGTTGAGTCTAAGGTGTAATTTACCCTGGGTCATGGTCTGCCATATTCTGTAGTACAGCTGTTAAATCCTTCTCTTTCAAGAGCTAACCAGTTGGGCCAGGCACGGTGGCTCACACCTGTAATCCCATCACTTTGGGAGGCCGAAGTGGGCGGATCACAAGGTCAGGAGATTGAGACCAGCCTGGCCAACATGGTGAAACCCTGTCACTACTAAAATATGAAAAATTAGCCAGGTGTGGTGGCGCGTGCCTGTAGTCCCAGCTACTTGGGAGGCTGAGGTAGGGGAATCGCTTGAACCCGGGAGGTGGAGGTTGCAGTGAGCTGAGATCACGCCACTGCACTCCAGCCTGGCAACAGAGCGAGACTCTGTCTCAAAAGAAAAAGAAAGAGAGCTAACCAGTTAACTAGGTATGGTGGTTCACACCTGTAATCTCAGGTACTCGGGAGGCTGAGGCTAGAGGATCACTTGAGGCCAGGAGTTCAAGTTCAGCCTGGATAACATAGCAAGAACAGGTCTGTTCAAATAAAAATAAGTTTTTAAAAGAGCCAACCAGTTGCCTTTTCTCATTTTCATTACCTCTAGTTACATCGTAATATTGTGTTTTCTTCCCTGTAGTCTAGTGGCCAGGAAAGAGGGGGAGCAGTAATATAAAGTTTTGTTTCTAGTTGAAAAAAATGGCTTTTTTTTTTTGTTTTTTGAGACAGAGTCTCGCTGTGTTGCCCCGACTGGAGTGCAGTGGCGCGATCTCGGCTCACTGCAAGCTCCGCCTCCCGGGTTCACGCCATTCTCCTGCCTCAGCCGCCCCAGCAGCTGGGACTACAGGCGCCCGCCGCCACGCCCGGCTAATTTTTTCTGTTTTTAGTAGAGACGGGGTTTCACCGTGTTAGCCGGGATGGTCTCGATCTCCTGACCTTGTGATCTGCCCACCTTGGCCCCCCAAAGTGCTGGGATTACAGGCGTGAGCCACCGCGCCTGGCCAAGAAAATGGCTTTTAAGTGAAAAAAAAAAAAATTTTTTTTGAGACAGGGTCTCACTGTGTTGCCCAGGCTGGACTCAAACTCTTAGGCTCAAGCGATCCTCCCAACTAGCTGGGAATACAGGCATGTACCATTATGCCCAGCTATATATGAGGATTTTTAAGTATTAAGTTTTTTTATGGTTGATTGTTAGTTTTATATTGGGAATACTGTGAGTTTTGGCTCTCCCAGTTCGCAGCTGGGTAAGAAGTGGTCCCCCACTGAGGCTGTGTTCAGGGACACATTAGGGTGTGCTGACAGGCCGGTGCCACATCCCACCCGAGCACACTTCAGCAAGGGCCCCCCTGGAGGCTGCCCCCGTTCTGCTGATAGCCTGCCTTCTGGTCCAGCTTCTAAGATGTCAAGCAGCAAAGCTCAGCCTAACATACTGCAATGATGGAAACGCTCTAGCTCAGCACTCTCCAATGTGGTAACCACAAACCAGATGTGATCATTGAGTGCTAGTGGGACTGAGGAAATGAATTTTTTTTTTTAATGTAAACTTAAGTGGCCATGTATGGCTAGTGGCTGAACAGCACAGGCTTAGAGCTACCCTCCTCAACCCAAGTTCAGGCAATATGGTTGGGATTTTTTGGAAGGGGCCATAGAGCACTGGAACATCCTCTCCTCTAGTGGAAGCTTGTGCCCAGGTTGTCACCCCAGCCCACCAGCAGAGAAGCGCAGGACCCTCATTATTAGCTGAGGACTTGTGAGTAAATGGTGTCTGTCATTTTCTGTTTTGGGGCCCATCTTGGTAGCCTGCCTAGTTAAGCTGGTAGCATCTCTATTTAACAGAAGTTGGTGGCCGCGTGTCCAGCAAGACAGAGGGGTCTGGGTTGGGAGGAGTGAGGGTAGGGCTGTCGGCCTCTGGCTTTGCTGCCTCTGCTGCTGTGCACTTTGCTCCTTCATGTGGAGACCTGGGACCCAGAGGCAGTTTCACAAGATGACCATGTCTTGGTCATTGCGGTCTTTTTGATGACCCAAGTCACAGTGACCCAGAGGCCTGCACTGCTCTGTGGGGATGGACGCTTGTATTATTCCACACAGTCTTCTTGGAAATTGCTCTCTGTGTATGATGTAACTTTGTATCCAGGAAACAAGTTTATTGATGGACTTTTCTTTCTAATCATAACAAAAATAAGTCCTTGGTTTGAGAATCCCTAACCTCCCTTATGGAGTAAAGAGCAGTTTAACATTTTCATCTCTGCCTTGCTGTCAACCCACCCAGATCTTTAAAGAGCTGTTGATGTCTCAGGGAAGACTTTTATTACTGGGACATCTCCATAGAAACAGAATCTTTGTTTCATGATCTGTGACTCCTGCCACCTTCCCCCCCACCTGATGTTGACCCTGCATTTCTGACATCATGGTCAGCTGTTTTGTGTTGCTTGTTATGTCATAGGCACAGGATTTGGCTCCAGGTGGGGGGGGTTACAGTAATAAGAGCATGAGCTCTGTTTTTTTTTTTTTTTAATTAATGTATTTAATGCAATGAGCCACAACAATTAAGACGAGAAAAAAAGGCTGTGGTAGCTCATTAATAATTCCACTGTGCGTAAAGAACCTTGTGTGGAGGGTTTTTTTTTTTTCTTCTACTCTCATGAAAAAACAGCTGGGAATTCTACTTTCTGCAGCTCTCGTTGCAGTAGCATTTTAAAGCTGCTATCTCTGCTGCAGACTTTGATCTTGCTGGTGCCATCAGAGCCCTGGATGGGTCATTAGGAAATGCCAGTAGTCTGACTCCTCCCCGGGGGACAGCCGTCTGCCTCACAGGAGCCAGTCCCAGTGCCAAGAGCCCCATATTTCCCTCCTTATGGCCCAGGAGCCTGAGCCTACCCTTCGGCAAGGCAGGGTGGGGCTGGCAGGCCCCTGTGTCCCAAGCCCTGCAGTGTGCCAACATAAGGAATAACAGTAGTACTGGGGTAGAGTGTAGGTGAATTGGAGTCTGTGTCTGCTACACAACAGATCCAAAGGACATTAAACCCTTCTTGTTTTTCCTACCTCCCTCCTTGAGCCCACCATCCTCAGCCTGGGAGCATGTGGATGCATGTGGGTATCTGAAGCTTCACAGAGCTTATAATGAGGAGCTTAGTAAATCCATTCTGCCTTTGAGCTTGAAGAGGGAAATGAAAGTGGCCTTCTCTTCTGGGGGTTGATGTTTGTGTCTGCAAGCCATCTTGTTGACTAGGCCACCTTGTAGGTCTTTTTGAGCTTGGATGATGATCTCGCAAGCTGTTTACTTTGACTTCACTATGCAGAAGTGCTGACTGCGCCCTCTGGACAGTGTAGGATGGTGCCTGGGCCTTGAAGAACACAGATTGAGAGACCTTGACTGGCTGGCCATGTAGGTGCAGTTGCCTGTTCAGAGTCCTCAGAAGAGGTTTTACTACACCTACTGCTCTTCACTCTTCCCTCCCAGCAGGGACTGGTAAGAGGAGAAGCTCCCCTGTGCCCTCCAGGTTTCTGAGCTCTCTAGCTGTGGTTCTGGCCCCTGCCAGGAACGTGAATTGTGCTTCCTGACGGCCTGTGGACATGTATGAGAACAGAGGAGGGCATTGTCTGCACAGTGTTCCTGCATGGGAGGCCTTGTCAGAGATGGACACTGCCTCAGGCAGATTGCTGTAGGAGACTTCATTTCCAGATGTATCTGGCATTAGTTTCAAGTTGTCGTTAGCGTGCATTCATAGTGTCTTACTCTTTTCTGCTTCTAACTCAGAGGGAACGCATTTCCTAACATGAGGCGTGTTTTATTAATGGTCCATCACAGCTGGTCACTGTTCTGTGGCCGTGAGGGAACTGAGCCACCTGCGCCTTTCTGATGGCACCCTTTGCTGCTCGTGTGGTCCCTGTCCTCACTGGTATAAACCCCTGTGGCGTAAGCGTGGCCCAGCCCCACGTGTGCTGTACTGTTTCTGTTTGGCCCAAACTAGAGACTAAGCCAGCATAGTGCTTGCTGCCAGAGCCCAGGTAAGAAGAGAGCATATCCCCTGAGCTCCAGTTGTCTGGCTCCTGCTGTTTATAAACTCTCTGGCAGATTGGAGCAGCGGGAGTCTTGGTCACACTATGTACTTGTGGGTTTTAAATTAACACATTTCATTTATTGCCTTGCTAGTTGCTTGCTGGGGGAGGGGCTTGGAGGTTAGTAGTAAGTTGCTGAGCTCTTGGGCCCACGGAGCCAAGAAGGCTGCCGCCCACTCTCTTAGATACTCATGGGCTCCAACGAAAGACAGGCTATGATGTTCCAGGTCTGGCCAAATATAAAAGGGTCTTTTTGATTTGTTTTAGGATACCGGGACCTGAAAAGTTTTCATGTGTATGTTCATTGCTTATTACTATTGCACTTGAAATCTGTGGGTGCACAGGCTGCTAGTCTGGATCTCAGTTTAAATTTAACAAGGATAAGTACCGTGGCTGCCTCCTGCCATGGTGCCTGGGAGCTCTCTGAGAATGTGTTATCAATATTTATTAACATTCTGCCACCGCGTTTTGCACCAGTGACCTGGCTGTCGGTCTCCAGGAGCTGTGGTGTGCAGAGTGAACTCATTAATTAGATTTCCTTGCCCTGATCCATGCACTACCCTTGTGTGAGAGCTCAGCTCACCTGGAGGCAGATGTGTCCTTGCTGCCATCCAGGATGCTGTCATCATGTTACAAGTTGGAATGAATCATTTTTCCTCCAAGGATTAAAAGCATCCTCATGGGATTTTACCTTCCTCTGAAGCATTTAGTGTGGATTATGTGATTTGTGTTGGAGGCTTCTGTGTCTCCGTGGGTCGTGGGGCAAAGGTGACAGTGGGGCTCTTGGGCCTGGCCACCTTTCTGTCTCAGACACCTGGGCATTCTCTGTACAGAGAAGAAAATACGCGTCTAGATTTTAAAGTGTTTTTACAAGGAGGCTTTGGCTTGAGCCTGAGAAATGGGGTTAGCCTAGAATCAAGGATTTTTAAAATAGCATTTATTGGTGATATCGTGGGAATATAGAAAAGATAAAATTTAAATCAGCTGTATCTTCTTACCCAAAGAGAATTATTGTTACATATTCATAGATTTCCTTTCAGTCTTTTTTTTTTTTTTTTTTTTTTTTTTTTTGAGACGGAGTCTCGCTCTGTCACCAGGCTGGAGTGCAGTGGTGTGATCTCGGCTCACTGCAACCTCCGACTCTCTGGTTCAAGTGATTCTCCTGCCTCAGCCTCCCAAGTAGTTTTTTTTTTTTTTAAGACAGTTTTGCTTGCCTAGGCTATAGTGCAGTGATGTGATAGTAGCTTACTGCAGTCTGAACTCCTGGGCTCAAGCAGTCTTCTCACCTCAGCCTCCCAAGTAGCTGGGACTATAGGCAAGTGCCATCACACCCAGCCTTTCAGTATTTTTTTTTTTTTTTTTAATAGTGACAGGATCTCACTGTGTTGCCCAAGCTGGTCTTGACTCTTGGATTCAAGTGATCTTTCTGCCTCGGCCTCCCAAAGTGCTGGGATTACAGGTGTGAGCCATGGTACCCAGCCCCAAGTCTTTTTTTAATGCGTAGAAACATTTTAATAAAATTAGCACATTTATACATTTGTACATCCTGGTTTTTTCAAGCAGTTTTGTTTCATGGGTGTTTTCCATACCATTAACTCTTTTCAAATGTTAATTTTTAAGTGACCGATATCCATCATGTTAAGGTATCATAGCTTACTTGGGTTGTCTCTAATGTTTTCCTATTAGAAGTAAGTGTAGCGACCTGCTACCTTTATGTCTGACCCTGTCAATCCCAGCCAGCATGACCACACCTATGTCCAGCTGTGAAGTCTCCATCTGACTGTCCCCTTCTGTCTTCCAGATTGTTTGCTACATGAGGAGAACTTCTCGGTGAGGTGCCCTAAGCACAAGGTGAGTCAGAGGCCCCAAGAGCTACCAGCAGGGATGGGATCGAGGGTGGCTCCTCCTGAAAGACCTGAAGACCAGGTGTTGGTGGGCCTCACCCACACCTGTCCCCACCTGTGCCTCCGGCTGTTAGTCCCCTCCTGGCCCTGGGAGGGTGGAGGGGCATGATGCTGAAGGGAGACCCGTGGCATGGGGGCCAGCACTCGGAGTATTATGAGGATCCCAGGAGAAATGTGTTTTGGGAGAGGGGGTGTTTGTCTGTTCATTAAGAGAGGTGAGAATATCTAACTCGATCAAGCCACTGATTTCCACTTGAGGTGAATAGAACCCCAATTCACAGGTTGGCGTTTGGTAAGTCTGGTTCTAGGCCTTGAGGCCTGTGCAAAGGCATCTTCCCAGACTAGAAGTCGAGCTGACCACAAGGCTCTGGGGAAGCTCAGTCTCTTCCAGGTTGTGCTTCTGCAGAAGCAGCCTGATGCACAGTGGATGGGCTGTCTCGGGCTCCACTTCCCAGTTTATTTAGGAGGTGGTCTCGTGGTCGCTTCCTTTAGGAAAGGGTGGGAGGTAAGGGGTGAATGGTCTGTTTGTGGATACCACATATGTGTGTGGGGAGGGTGTATATGGAGAAGGAGCCCCAAGAAAGGATCAGAACGGAGACCACTGCCACCTGATGTTTCCTGCAGGGGCTGCACTGTGTCTCTGGCTGAGGTCACACTGACACCTGGTGGTCACTGGTCACTCGCAGTCTTAAATCTAGTAGGGCCGAAAGTACTAGAAGGAGGTTGTCCAGAGAGGTCTGCCCTCAAAATGCTCCTGAAAGATGCTTGCTTATGCTTTTCTTTAAAAATTATTTCTGGGGAAGGGCGGGGAGTGGTCACAGGATCTTATATTCTCTTTATTTTTACTTAATTTGCATGTTATTTTTAGAACTCCCCTTTTTAAGGGTCACATTTTGCCTCAGAAAACCCTGTCTGAATGTCTCCTGTTTGTCGGTCAGGACTGACTCTGCCTTTTCTTTCCTTTTCCATGTGCCACTCCTGTCCTCCCTTTGCCCTCCCTGATTTCTGCACTGTCCTCTCCCACCTGTCTGTCTCCTCTTGGTTTTGCCCGTGTCAGCCTCCCCTTCCGTGCCCTCTCCCCCCCTTGCAGAACAAGACCGCGAAAGGCAGCCTCAGCACAGAGCAGTCGGAGCGGGGGTGAGGGGGGCAGTGTGCTCGTGGGAATGGAAAGGACAGCAAGCACAGGTGAGTCGGGGCCACCGGGCTCCCTGCATCCTGCCCGGCTCCCAGCAGGCGTCGTTGCCTCTGCCCTCCTGCTCGCTCTATGCTCTGCCACCAGCATTTCATCCTGTGGATGACAACGCCAGGTGGATGCAGTGTTCTTCCATTGGTTACTTAGCTCCCCAGATTATCTGTGGAAAGGAGTGGGGGCTTCTAAACTGTCCACTGCCAATGGGGTGCAGGGTGACTGTTCCTGAAGGCAGCCCTTCAGGGCACAGCTGGCCAGGGGTGGCCTTGTGAGTGGACACAACAGGCTTTTAGGTCTCTTTCTTGGGCAGGGCATCTCTTGCCAGTAGCCCCTGCTCTTTCCCCCGTCTCAGAAAGGGTTCCAGTCAAAGGTCTCTTCTTTTTAATTTACTACATTTCTGTAAAGCTTATGGTGTGTTTTCCTTTGAAAACAACAGAACTCTTGGGTTTTGTTATTAGAAATCTTTTTTTTCCAGTATTATGAAGGATTCCTTTTTGCAGAAGTACAAAGGAAAGAAAAATCCTCAAAGATTTAGTAGACTCTAGCATCTGATTTAATTTTACTCTTAAAAATCTCGAGGCTGGGCATGGTGGCTCATACCTGTAATGCCAGCACTTTGGGAGGCTGAGGCAGAAGGATCGCCTAAGCCCAGGAGTTCAAGACCAGCCTGGGCAACAGTGAGACCCTGTGTCTACATTAAAAAAAAAAAAAAAAATTAGCCGTGCGTGGTGGTACATGCCTTTAGTCCCATCTACTCAGGAGGCTGAGCTGGGAGGATCACTTGATCAAACCTGGAGGTTGAGGCTGCAGTGAGCCATGATCGTGCCGCTACATTCCAGCCTGGGCCACAGTGAGACCCTGTCTCAAAAAAAGAAAAAAAATTCTTGTGATTGAGTTGTGCTTGCTGTGAGTTTGTGTGGGATTATTGTGGTCACGGCCCTCTTGGCAGGCATCTGTGAAAACAGGATGATAGGACTTGGGGTCTCTAGAAGCTGCAGGCCTCTGAGCTCCATGCTGCTCCTTCACCCTCCCTGCGTCACTGAGGCATGAAGGGAAATAGGTTGTAAAGAAAAGAAAAACCAAAATGTACCTTGTGGCACTTGCTGCTACAGGATGGGGCAGGAGGACTAGTTGTCTCAGAAATATTCATTGAGGGGTCATTTCTCTCAAATGGGAGGACTTCTGTGTCGACCTCAGGAGTTTGACTCACACAGCTACGCTAGACGTGTCCCTTCCGGCACCACCATGTGCCTGACCACCTTCTGGAACGTGCCCTCCTCCTTGTTACCACTACTAATTTCCGGAGAAGGCCCCTCGGCTGCCACGCCATTTGAGAAGTCAAGTGGGGGCTGCTGAGTGCCTTCTTGATAGAGCGTTGAGTGTGGTGCCTTTCTCTTTCCTCTTCCGGGGAGTAGGGCTGGCAGTGAAGGGATCAGAGCAAAGTGGGGAGGTGGGTGGAAGCCATTCCATGTGTTCCTGGGTCAGAGGAACCAGATGAGCAAATGAAGCCTCTTGGACTTGGAGTACATTGCCACCATCAGCGAGTGGCTGCTGGTTTTCCAGAACCTGCTGGGCAGCACTGCCTGCTCCTTTTCCTGGGATTAGCCCTTAGGACAAGGCAGCCATTGCATTGCGTGGTTTTGAAAGGACTGTTTCTGTTGGCCCTCCTGCATGTCCCTACGCTCCTGAGGGTGTCACTGTGCCTTCCCATTGTCACCCCTGTGCCAGCACAGGCCAAGATGGTTAGAGTCAAGTTCTGTAGGGGACCACGATGCGTATTCCTGGAATGTGTCCTAGAAGACCTGGTTAAGGAAAGAGCTTAAGTGTTTTTTGTTTTTGTCCTGGAATTGCATCTGTGTTTGAGAAAAAGAAAGTTCAGGCCCTGGGCCTGGTGGACAAATCTCCTGGGGATTTTGTTCATCTGTTC
The DNA here is from genome assembly GCF_000001405.40 of Homo sapiens. Classification (NCBI taxonomy): domain Eukaryota; kingdom Metazoa; phylum Chordata; class Mammalia; order Primates; family Hominidae; genus Homo; species Homo sapiens. Next base: position 89,022 of record NT_187682.1, on the reverse strand, counting down.
CTCTCTAGTCATTCTTGGGCCTTCCTTCCTAGCTGTCAGGGCCCTTGACTCTTTTTTTTTTTTTTTTTGGAGACGGATTCTCACTTTGTCGCCCAGGCTGGAGTACAGGGGCACGATCTCGGCTCACTGCAACCTCCATCTCTGGGGTTCAGGCGATTCTCCCGCCTCAGCCCTCCCGAGTAGCTGGGACTACAGGTGTGCACCACCACGCCCAGCTAATTTTTGTATTTTTTGTAGAGATGGGGTTTCACCATGTTGCCCAGGCTGGCCTTGAACTCCTGACATCAAGTGATCTTCCCGCCTTGACCTCTCAAAGTGCCGGGATTACAGGCGTGAGCCACGGCGCCCGGCCAACTCTTGAACAGAACAATGAGCTTCATCCTTCTGGGTTGAAGCACAGTGATGAAGTGGCCTCACCCATTGAAGAGAGTCGTCTCAGGTCCATTGAGGTTGAACCATTCCATTCAGCTCTTGGAGGGAGAGGATGGACTCACTGCATCCAGTCCTGTCCATCTGAAATGTTTTTTATGTGCTGTTCCCACAAGGCATATAGCTTTTCCTGGTTTCCCAGTTCAGCAGTGACATTGAGGGTGGTCACCGTCCTTCATTTGTGGTAGAAGCCCTGGTGACTGGGGATAGAATCACACCTCTGACTAAAGGAGGACTCATCTTGGGCCCCATGCTGGGGACAGAGAGCCACCATTATTGGGTGCCCTGACAAGGCAGGGAACAGACAGCGAATGTGCGTGTGTGTCTGCCTCCTAGTGCGCCATGTTCTGACAGAGTGATATGATAGGTGCTGTGTGACTAAGATCAGACTACTCCATGTCTCTGTACTTCGGTTTCTTCTGTAAAAACAGGAATAGCAGTGCCAACCTTTTGAGATTCCATTGGGAAATGTCTCTAAGTGCCAGCACAGCACACTGGCTCTCAGCCCGTTGATCTGCCATGCCTAGCTGTGGGTTTCTCTTGGGAGTTGGAGGGGTCAAGGCAGCAGATTGGACCCTGCAGCTGTCTCTTATAGCAAAAAATACCCAAGGCTTGGGGTTAAAAGATGCCGCCCCTGCCTCCCAGCCTGTGAGGTATCTGGTACCTGACCCTCGCCAGGAGTGCGGAGGGGAAAAGTCCTTCTGCAGGCCCGTGGTTGCCCACTGTCTCTTTGTGCCAAGGGGGTTGCCTTGCTGGCTTGTGTCATTGGTTGGCAGGGCTTTTGACAGTGGAGTCCCTATACCCAGCTCTTCCTCCTGTCGTGAATTAAACAAGGAGGCCCCAGCTTGCCCTAACAGGCCCTGTGGTCCAGCACATGGGAAGCATAACCTTGATCAGGGCTAATGCTGCATCCTGGATGCTATGTACCCTGCACAGAACAGCCATGGATGGACGCTGAGCAAGGCAGGGAACGGGGCGTGGCCCCCCTGCCCCTGGAGCTGGACATCACACAGTCCATTTGTGTGTATGCATGAATGTCACATTCTAGAGTTCCCCTTTCCCCAAACTGGTCCAGAGGCAGTCCAGGGTTACACCTCCAGAGGAGAGCCTGAGTCTGTCCACTTTCCTTCCCCACCAGCCCCAGCCCAGGCATTGTGGCTGCTATAGTGCCCGCCTCCCTGCCACTGCTCAGCAGCCAAGTGCAATCTTCATTAGGCCTCCCTCCAGTCCTGTCCCTTCTCTACGTCAGAGATTCTTGTCATCTTCCACACAAAGCCCAGACATCTCACCTTGCCTTCCAGAGCCCTATGGAAGTCTCAGGTGACTCTCCAGGCCCCTGGCTGCCTCCAGCTCCTCAGGGACCAGGCTTCCTTCCTCTGGGCTTCTGCACACACAGTTCCTTGTGCTGGAAACACTTTGGCTCCCCATCTTCATGTTGAAAACAGGCTCCCATCTCCTGGGTCTCAGCTTAAATCCTACTTCCTCAGAGAAGCCTTTCCCTTTCTAAATCCTTGTCTCCATTGCCCCCCTCCTCGCTTGCAGCCATCCTAGCATCACCACAATTTCAGATCATTTACTTGTTTACTACCTGTCTCTCCACTAGACTGTAAGCTCCATTAGGGCAGGGACCACGTCTGTCTTTGCACCATCAAAGCCTAGCCCAGAGCGGGGCATGTAACTATGCTAGTGCCAAGTGAGTCTGTGTTAAAGAAATGAGTGCATCCCAGGCCGGGCACAGTGGCTAACGCCTATAATCCCAGCACTTTGGGAGGCGGGCAGATCACGAGGTCAGGAGATCGAGACCATCCTGGCTAACAATACAAAAATACAAAAAATTAAAACACTAAAATACTAAAAATACAAAAAATTAGCCGGGCGTGGTGGTGGGCGCCTGTAGTCCCAGCTACTCGGGAGACTGAGGCAGGAGAATGGCATGAACCCGGGACGTGGAGCTTGCAGTGAGCTGAGATCGTGCCACTGCACTCCAGCCTGGACGACAGAGTGAGACTCCATCTCAAAAAAAAAAAAAAAAAAAAGAAAGAAATGAGTGCATCCCAGGGAAAAAAGGGCTCTTGGACCCTGACCATCGGTGCCCTTAATCAGTATAGATTCAGAATTAGGTTTCCCTTCATATCCTCCCTCTCTAGTCGGAATTAGTGTCTGTTTTAGAAATGAGGAAATGGGCTCTGGGCGAATCCTGGCCAGGGTGAGTGGTGTTGAGATGATGAGTTTTTGCTGCAGTTGGGAAAGGCAGGCTTGGAGTCTGATGTGGAAGGACGCGAGGATGGCGTCCCGGGTTCAGGCCACGGATGAGGCCAAAGGGGAGCAGAAAGGACAGTGTGAGCGAGAAGGGAAGGGAGGGAACAAGTGAGGGAGCCTGGGAAGGTGTTGGCCCAAGACGAAACCCTGGATGCTGGCAGCTGGGGAGCAAGGTGATGTTCTTTAAAAGAGAATTCACAGTCTTCAGCACAGGGGCGGCAGGTCGCTCCTGCTGCTCAGGCTGGCTGGCACCAGGGCTGCTCCCAGGCTCACTGTCGGGGACCCAGCCGTCTCTCAGCCACACCCCATGCCCTAGCATACGCAGCCCCTAGGGCCCAGTTGGGAAAGCCCCAGTCCCACCTCTGGCCACGTCGCTTTGGGCTACATGTGTCGCCTTCCTGAGCTTTAGCTCTCTTGAAGATGGGGGTCAGGCAGATCCACGTTACTGTGATATAATATCTGTAAAGCTTCTAGCCCAGGGCCTGGCACATAGTGCTTAGAGAATTTTCCTTCCTTCCTAATTTCCCTACTGAAGGAACAACTTTTTTAAAGTAACTCTTGAAAAGTTAGGGTCCCATTACATTCAGGATATCGTGTGTTTGGGCTGGTCTAGTCATCAGACCTGAGGAACACGAAGGCTATAGAGGGCAGAGCCCCAGGCTGCAGGTGCTGAGGAACTGCCGCTGCCTGGGCCACCACGCGCCCCAGGGAGGGGCCCACAAGTAGCAGCTCGCAGAGCCAACTGGCCAGGCAGACCCTGGCTGCTGACATGTGCTTCATTCTTCACTGGGGAGCTGGTGTGGGGTCCTGTTCTTCTGAGTAATGAGCAAGATTGGGGTGCAGGCCCAAGACTGCTGTGTATTGGTAAAGAGGGCAAACCCTGCCCTGTCCCCTCCTTGAGCAGAGCCTGGCAGGGTACGTGTGGGCATTGGCCTTGATTCACACGGGCATCCTGCAGCCCCAACAAGATGACACCCTTCTGTGTTCTTGGAGGTAGGTGCCCATTAGCTCAACTGCTGGCCTGCATTCCCAGGGCTTGCTTTTACTTGTCTGTGGTGATGTTGTGCCATGGCCTCTGTGTGTGTTCCTGCTTATTGGTGTTTTCTGCCAAGTAGTCAGGAACCTCCTTGGGCAAGAGCATGTGCATGTACGTGCTTGGGAACAGCTCAATCTTAGCTCCCGCAGGCCCCAGCCGCCTTAGCAGTTCTGCGTGTGTGAACTTTATGGAAGCAGAAAGGGCTGGTGACACTTGGGTTCTTGGGGTTTGTCAGGGGAGGGCACCAAATTGGTCTTGAGGAAGCAGTTAGGTGAGCCCCAGTGACAGTCTTAAGCACAGTGATTGGCAGATAGCAAGTGAAGGAGGGGCAAGGCTGCCACCACTTCTGGCTTCTGGTGAAATTTTACTGGACTGATTCCTAGGAAACTGCTGTTTGTCTTTGAGACCTTTCCACATCAGATGGCCCATGAAGCGTTCCACAGGGACCTTTGGTACAATCCATCTGTCCTACGTGGGCCATCAGAATCCCCTTCTGCACATGGGCTGGAAGAGGAGAGAAGCCCTCCAGCCTGGGGATGGGAGACCTAGGGGTCTCAGGTTCCTGAGAGGTCGAAAGGATTAACATAGTCCAGCTCTGTCTGAGCCTCAGAAAACCTGCCCTCCCTGTTAGAGGCCATGGGAAGAGTGTTCTTTTTAAGCATGAAGAACTGACTGTGGGCCAGGTGTAGTGGCTCACGCCTGTAATCCCAACACTTTGGGAGGCCGAGGTGGGCAGATCAGCTGGGGCCAGGAGTTCTAGACCAGCCTAACATGGCAAAACCACATCTCTCCTAAAAATACAAAAATTAGCCGGGTGTGGTGGCGTGCACCTGTGATCCCAGCTATTTGGGAGGCTGAGGCACAAGAATCACTTGAACCCAGGGGGCAGAGGCTGCAGTGAGCCAAGAGCACACCACTACACTCCAGTCTGGGCAATAGAGCAAGACTGTCTCAAAAAAAAAAAAAAAAAAAAAAAAAAAAGACTGTCATTAGCCAAGCATGGTGGCGTGTACCTGTAGTCCCAGCTACTTGGAAGGCTGAGGTGGGAGGATTGCTTGAGCCCAGGAGGTCAAGGCTGCAGGGAGCCAAGGCGACAGAGCGATGTCTTGTCTCAAAAACAAACAACTAGCTGTGTTGACTAGAGGCAGCTGTGAAACTGTCCTAAAAGGCTGGACTTCGAGAAGTTTCTTCCACAGATTGACCAGGTACTGTAGGTTTCAGTCACAACTGGGGTCCTGACACTGGCAAAACCCCACCAGCTGCCCCACAAGTGGGGCCTGCCCTGAGGTCAGGGAGTTCTCTGCTGTACTGGTTCCTTTATGCACTAGGAAGGCAGACATGCCCTGAGGAGCCCTCAGAGTCCAACCCCAGCACCCCCACTAGGTCATTGCTGCCTTTAATCACATTCCAGATCCAGAGCCACACAGTGGCCCTGGCATTGGTCTCGGGTGTGTCCCATATCAGCAGCACATCTGCAGAGGGGCGTGAGTGCAGGCTCCCTGCTGAAAGCTCCCAGGGGTACCACGGAACAGCGGCTGTTGGTGGTGGACCCTGTGGAGGCTCCTGGCCTTCACTGTGTGTCCCTTGTCTTCCAGGTGAGACTGTGGAGATGAGAAGGTGGTGGACACTCGTGATGGAATGGAAATCGTCCTACCGTGCAGCCACACCCTGCCCTGCCCCGCCCCGCCCCGCCCGCGTGCCTGCCCATGCCAGCACTTCCTTAAGTTCTCACATCACACTCAAACCAGTGACACCACAGGAAAGAAAGACCCAAGACGTTGGAATGGCTGTTTCCATGGACACAATCTCCATAGTGACAATGTGGGGGGAGGGGGGAGGGGTGGGATGATGGGGAAAGGGTGGGGGGAATTAAAAGGGAGGGATAAATATATATATATAAATCTATTTTTAGTCTGGAAAGACTTTGTTTAAATGAAAGGTGCGCTATCCCTTTTGATTCTGTTTTAAAATTATCTCGTTAAAGATCTCCAAATTTGTTCCGATGACAAGTGAAATTTAAATGTGAGATTGAACTGAACAAACCCTCATCTCATGAAGGACGGGGTGTGTGTGTGGCGTTGATCTTTAGCCTGTCTCACACCAGTTCAGAAAACACTAGACCCAGGATTGAAAAAGCAAACCACAGCAGAACCATCCTTTTGTCATTAATTTGTCTCAAAGTGGGAAGGTTTTGGGGGAGGGGGAAATACAGGGATGGTCCATGTTTTCAAGAGTAGGGGAATGATGTTTAAACACAAAAATAAATTTTTTTTCATTTCCAGAAACACTATTTATTTATGGTTTTTTTTTTTTAATTTTTTCTTTTTGGGGGTGAAATTGGCAGATGCCTGAGGTCATAGCTGTGTCCTGGGTCACTGTGGCTGGTGAGGACCTCAAGGACCCCATCAAGTGTACACAGCAGCAGCAAAATCAAGGGATGACCCTCCTCTGGGGCCCCCTGTCCTCAGCACATTCCAGGCAGCTGTGCCCTGACCCACAGGGACCCGTGGGGATGGGAGGAGGTCCAGGCCTGTGTTGCCAGAGCTGGCAGTGTGAGCTGTAGGCAGGGACGGGGAGGGACTGTCGCTGTGATCAGAGTGGGTTAAGCTGACCAGGAACACCCATTTAACCCCTTTTTCTTTTTGCTTTCATTTTTATAAAGGAAAAGAGGACCTGTCAGATAGGCAGCCCCATGCTACGTGATTCTTTATGTTGTGTTGTTTTGTTTTGTAAATTGTATAATTTTTAAATATCTGAGTTTTAAAAAAAGAAAAAAGTACAAAAAAATCTTGTTATGGCCTTAAGAAGGGGTTAGTGCATCTTTCAGGGGTCACTCTGCCATGGGGATAAAATAGCTGTTTCACAAACAGTTTTATTTAAAAAAACAAAAAACAAAAAAAATCAAAAAATCAAAAAAATAATAAACTTCATTTTAACCTTGTTTCCTCTTCTGTTTACTTTAAAGTGAATGCGTCTCTTCCTTCTCCCATTCTAACCCCCAAAGGGTAGCTCTGGTTCTCCAGAGGAGGCCATGATCAGAACCTGTCTGTCCCATTCCTGGCCTCTCGATGGCCACGCAGCCGGGAAGCAAACAAAATATAGGGTTCTTCTGCCACTCCTCTGGGCAGGTGGAGTGTGGCCAGTGTATGGGGACAGTCAGATTTACTCAAGTTGATATGAAGACATATTTCCAATCAACATTAAGGGTTATAAAAAAATAATGGAATGTTAATGGACTTTTTTAGAGAATGGAAATACTGGAAGGAATATTGTGAAGCAGAAATAAGCAATTATAAATGAGTTCTGTGTTCATCAATTTGGGGCAGCAGAAATGGCAGATTAATTGTATTTTAATGGCTACATCAAGCAGTCCATTTCTCATTTCACTCCGCCAGGATGGAGGTGTGGGTGGGTGCGCCGTGCCGGCCGTAGGACCAAGCTTAGGCAACTGAACAGGACCTGCACAGAAATGATGGCTTTTTTGAGCTAGTTGTTGTCTCATTCTGGTCTTGACTTGGCATTAATACAGTTAAAATGAAATGGATAGACTTCAGGTGTCAAGGGCTAAACCACAAAACTTGAAAAATATGTATCTTGAGGAAAATATTTTCCTGACAGCAAATGTTTGTCATTTTGTCTTTTATTCTTTTGTCCCCTTTTGATTTGCCTGAGTGGAGCACTTGTGATTGTTCTAGGTCTTTCCTTAAATTGGCTTCAGTAATGACCTTCACTGGGGAGTGGCAGTGATACACGCATGCCTCCTGACTCCAGTTTCTGGCTTCTGCAGTTCTCCTCAACTGCTCAAGTGCCTTTTAGTTCCTTTAGTGTTTGTCTTAATTGATTTTTTTAAAGTAGTTTTATGTTCACAGAAGGATTAAGCTGACGGTACAGACAGTTCCCATATAACCCCTTCCCCCCGTATGCATACCTTTCCCTCTATCAACATCCCAACCAGAGTTGGCATACTGTTTTCACCCAAAGTCCATAGTTTATACTAGGGGCCACTCCCGGTGGTGTACATTTTATGGCCTTTGACAAATGTATAAAGACCTGGATCTGGCAGGGCGTGGTGGCTCTCGCCTATAATCCCAGCATTTTGGGAGGCTCAGGTGGGTGTATCGCTTGAGTTCGAGAACAGCCTGGGCAACATGGCGAAACCCCATCTCTACATAAAAATACAAAAATTAGCCAGGCATGATGGTGCATGCCTGTAGTCTCAGCTACTTGGGAGGCTGAGATGGGAGGATCACTTGAGCCCAGGAGGTCGAGGCTACAGTGAGTCGTGATCGCGCCACCACACTTCAGCCTGGGTGACAGCAAAATCCTGTCTCAAAAAGACGAGGACGCACCATGATCCAGAGTAGTTTCACTGCTCCAGGGATCCTCCGTGTCCCACTGTTCATTCCTCCTTAGCCCCAGTCCCTCACCGCTGAGCCTTTTACTGTCTGCAAAGTTTTGCCTTTTCCAAAGTATCATATAGTTGAGATTAGATAGTAGGTAGCCTTTTTTAGATTGGCTTCATTCACTTAGTAATGTGCATTTAAGGTTCACCCGTGTCTTTTCATGACTTGATAGCTTGTTTCTTTTTAGTGATAAATAATTCCATTGTCTGGCTGTACCACAGTTTATCCATTCAACTGCTGAAGAACATCTTGGTTGCTTTCAAGTTTTGACAATTACAAATGAAGCTGCTGTAAACATCCCTTTGCAGGTTTTTGTGTGGACATAAGGCCTCAACTCCTTTGGGTAAGTACAGGAAGCACGATTGGTGGATTGTATGGTAAGAGTATGTCTAGTTTTGTAAGAAATTGCCAAACTGTCTGGATCACCTGAGGTCAGGAGTTTGAGACCAGCCTGGCCAACATGGTGAAACCCTGTCTCTACTAAAAATACAAAAATCAGCCAGGCATGGTGGCTCACGCCTGCAGTCCCAGCTAAACGGGAGGCTGAGGTGGGAGGATTGCTTGAACGCAGGAGGCAAAGGTTCCAGTGAGCTGAGATCATCGTGCCACTGCACTCCTAGCCTGGGTGACAGAGTGAGTGAGACTCTGTCTCAAAAAAAAAAAAAAAAAAAAAAAAACTGAGAAAAGGAAAAGAAATTGCCAAACTTTCTTCCAAAGTGTCTGTACCATTTTGTACTCCCACCAGCAATGAATGAGTTCCTGATGCTCCACATCCTTGCCAGCATTTGGTGTTGTCAGTGTTCTGGATTTAAGCCATTCTAATAGGTGTGTATATAGCCATTTATTTTTTTAATACTCATAAAGTTTTTAAATTGTGGTTAAAAAAATGTACCATCATAACAGTCACAGTACAGTTTAGTGGGAAATGTGTTCAGATTGTTGTGCAACCAATCTCCAGAATTTTTCATTTTATACAACGGAAGCTTTACCCATTAAACTGCCCCCCTGCAGGCTGGCCCTGCCCCTGGAGCTTTCCATTTCTGTTTCTAGGGTACAAGCAGCCCTCGATACCCACAGGCTCCGCATCCACAAATTCAACCACACATCAAAGATAACTTGAGAAAGTATAACAACTAAAAATACAAATAAGAGCAGTACAGTATAGCAACTATTTATGTAGCATTTACACTGTATTAGGCATTACAAATAATCTAGAGATGATTTAAAGTATACAGGAGCATTTGCATAGGTATACTATGCCATTTTACATAAGGAACCTGAGCATCCTTGGGTTTTGGTATTTACCGGGGGTCCTGGCACCAATCCCCTCCAGGATACCCAGACACAACTATTCCACTGCCCATAACCCCGTCCCCTTGCAGCTGTGGAAACGCAGAGGTGCTGCTCTGAGGGCAGACAGACCCCACCACTCAGCACTCTTGAGTCGGACCCAGCAGAAACCCATCCCATGGGAGGAGCTGGGAATTGGAGGGTCTCTCCCAGTAGCATTGCTATGCCTGGCAGGGGGAAGGGCAAGAACAAGCAAAATGCTCCAACTTGACTACCCTTCCCAGTGCAGTCCCTCCCTGGCTCTGCACTAGCTGGCATTGCAGCATCCTAACTAGTTTCTAGAATTCTCACGATGTTTTGGTCTCCTATAGCTTTAACATTGAGCTCTCTAAGAGAACGAGAGCCCGCAGTTTCCTAGTCTACCACTTGCTGACATATTTTCACACCATCTCACTTGGCAACGTCCATAGGGCCTGCCAGGGCACAGTGCACTTTTTACCATGACACAGCAGTACCACTGTTCAGGGAAGGCAGGTTGGATCTGTTTCCTAAAAATAATAAATCCCAGAAACATCTATACTGACCATTAATAGAATGTAATGTCCAAACAGTATAGAATAGTAGCTCAGCATACACATTGGATGTGGACTCCTAACACCGCTGTGTGACTTGAACCTTGTTATGTGATCTCTGAGCCTCAGTCTCTGTGCCTTGGGGACCATAAAACCACCTCCTTAGGGGGCTGTGGGAGGATTAATGAGCTAGAGCACACAGTCTGACCAGCAGTTTCTGGCACATAAGTGCCCGATCAATGGAAGCCACAGGTGCACAATGATTGGAAAAGGCCACAGGCATTGTTATTAAATGTTTTCCTCATGCTGCCATATCTTGAATTACAGGCCTCTGGCTGGTAAGGAGGGCACTCGGGAGGACACTGCCCACATTGCAGGCATGCCTGTCCCTGCCCTTCACACCCCCATCATGATTCATGATGACTGCTTGGGGAGGGCCTGACACCTCAAAAGGCCAAGAGTGCATACAGGTAATGTATAAAGGGCCACCATGTAACAAGCACCCAGACCATCCTGCTGTCCCTGCACCTTGATTCTCTCACAGTCCCAAATAGAACAGTGCTGCCATGTAGGACAGGAACATTCATTCAGCTGAGGCCAGTTTGGGAGACCACAAGCCAGATCTGAGAAGTCCCCAGATAGGCATGGGTCTTGCTCTCTCTGTCAGTTGAGTAGCTTCAAAACTTCTGTTGGGCCAGGTGGCTCATGCCTCTATTTCCAACACTTTGGGAGGCCAAGGCAGGAGGATCACTTGAAGCCAGGAGTTCCAGACCAGCGTGGGCAACATAGTGAGGACCCATCTCAACAAAAAAATTAGCCGAGCGTAATGATGTGCACCTGTAGTTCCAGCTACTCGGGACGCTAAAATAGGATCTCTTGATTGAGCACAGGAGTTTGAGTGAGCTATGATCACAGCTCTGCACTCCAGCCTGGGCAACAGAGCAAGATCTTGTCTCTAAAAAATATATATATATTTTTAAATTTTAAATAAACTGTTCTCCCTGCCTTTTGTTCCCCAGATCCAGTCTTCATCCAGACCTGAAAAGACCCAGGCTCCAGCTGCTGGCCTCCTGCTGCCCCTCAGGCCACCTGCACAGGAAATTCCAGGGGTGGGTTGGTCCCACTGCCAGTGCCGTGGCCTACAGTGCTAGGCAGCCCCTCAGTCAGCTAGACAAAGTTCTCCATGAATCCTTCCCAGAAAGTCCTGTTCCAGCCTGGGACAACGTCCCCATGGACCCTCATGGCACTGCTGGCTTGTCATGTCAGCTATGTTACCTTCCTACTCCCCGTGGTCATCATTACGTTGGGGCATTGACTCACAGCCTTACCACCATGCTCCCAGTACACAGCCCAGCACCCAGTACAATCCATACCTCCAACTTGGGTGGAGCTCCCATGCCAGGCCACCTCTCGCCCACCACCCTAATCTGGGTAGGCAACTAGAGCGAGCAGGGGCAAGGACCTCTGCAGCAGCCCATACCCGCCCTGGCCTGACCCTGCACCCACTGGCAGCACAGTCAACACAGCAGGTTGGCTCACAGCAGAAGGCAAAGGCCATCATCAGCTCCCTTTATAAGGGAACGGTCATGCACTGGGTGTGCTGAGAGTGTCCTGCCTGGTCCTCTGTGCCTGGTGGGGTGGAGGTGCCAGGTGTGTCCAGAGGAGCCCAATGGGCAGTGAGGCAGCCATGGGGCTGGATGCACTGGTGCCCCTGGCAGTGACAGTGGCCATCTTCCTGCTCCTGGTGGACCTGATGCAGCAGCACCAACGCTGGACTGCACGCTACCCGCCAGGCCCCCTGCCACTGCCCGGGCTGGGCAACTTGCTGCATGTGGACTTCCAGAACATATACACCTTCAACCAGGTGAGGGAGGAGGTCCTGAGGATCCCCCACCACCAGCAAACATGGGTGGTGGGTGGAGCCACAGTCTGGACAAGAAGCCAGGCTGAGAAGGGGAAGCAGATTTGAGGGACTTCCTGGGGGAGGGCATTTATGCATGGCATGAAAGATGGGATTTTCCAAAGGCCAAGGAAGAGTAGGGCAAGGGCCTGGAGGTGGAGCTGGACTTGGCAGTGGGCGTGCAAGCCCATTGGGCAGCATATGTTAGGAGCACAAAGTCCCCTCTGCTGACACCAGAAGGAAAGGCCTTGGGAATGGAAGACGAGTCAGGGTCCTGTGTGCCGTTTAAATCAGGAAATCAGGCTGTGCGTGGTGGCTCACGCCTATAATCCCAGCACTTAAGGAAGCCAAGGTGGGCGGATCACCTGAGGTCAGGGGTTCCAGATGAGTCTGGCCAACATGGCAAAAACCGGTCTCTACTAAACATACAAAAAATGAGCTGGGCACAGTGGTGCACGCCTGCAATCCCAGCTACTTGGGAGGCTGAGGCAGGAGAATTGCTTGAACTTAGGAGGCAGAGGTTGTAGTGAGTGGAGATTGTGCCATTGCCTTGCAACCTCGGTGACACAGCCAGACAATGTCTAAATAAACGAATAAGAAATCAGGCCGGGCGCGGTGGCTCACGCCTGTAATCCCGGCCCTTTGGGAGGCTAAGGCGGGCGGATCATGAGGTTAGGAGATCGAGACCATCCTGGCTAACACAATGAAACCCGTCTCTACTAAAGATACAAACCAATTAGCCAGGCGAGGTGGTGGGCACCTGTAGTCCCAGCTACTTGGGAGGCTGAGGCAGGAGAATGGCATGAACCCATGAGGCAGAGCTTGAAGTGAGCTGAGAACACACCATTACACTCCAGTCTGGGCGACAGAGCGAGACTCTGTCTCAAAAAAAAAAAAAAAAAAAAAAAAAAAATCAACGGCTGGGCGCGGTGGCTCACACCTGTAATCCCAGCATCTTGGGAGACCAAGGTGGGGGGATCACAAGGTCAGGAGTTCGAGACCAGCCTGGCCAACATGGTGAAACCCTGCCTCTACTAAAAATACAAAAATTAGCGGGGCACGGTGGTGGGCACCTGTAATCCCAGCTACATGGGAGGCTGAGGCAGGTGAATTGCTTGAACCCGGGAGGTGGAGGTTGCAGTGAGCCAAGATCGCGCCATTGCGCTCCAGCCTGGGTGACAGAGCCAGACATGGTCTAAATAAATGAGTAAGTTAGAAATCAAGGATGAAGGGATATAGTGGACCCGGTTCAAACCTTTTGCACTGTGGGTCCTCGGGCCTCACTGCTCACCGGCATGGACCATCATCTGGGAATGGGATGCTAACTGGGGCCTCTCGGCAATTTTGGTGACTCTTGCAAGGTCATACCTGGGTGACGCATCCAAACTGAGTTCCTCCATCACAGAAGGTGTGACCCCATCCCCGCCCCAGGATCGGGAGGCTGGGTCTCCTCCTTCCACCTGCTCACTCCTGGTAGCCCCGAGGGTCGTCTAAGGTTCAAATAGGACTAGGACCTGCAGTCTGGGGGGACCCTGGCCTGATGGAGGCCCTGACCCAACGGAGGCCCTGACCCTCCCTCTACAGCTGCGGCACCGCTTTGGGGACGTGTTCAGCCTGCAGCTGGCCTGGATGCCGGTGGTCGTGCTCAATGGGCTGGCGGCCGTGCGTGAGGCTCTGGTGACCTGCGGCGAGGACACCGCCGACCGCCCGCCTGCGCCCATCTACCAGGTCCTGGGCATCGGGCCGCGCTCCCAAGGCAAGCGGCGGTGGGGGACAGAGACTGCGTTTCCGTGGGTCCTGGGTGGGCGGTGACCGTAGCCCAAGCTGGGCTGAGAGGGCGTGGGGTTGTGGACTTGGGACACATAGAAAGGCCAGTGAGTGGGTTGGGGACAGCGAGCCAGGAAACCACTTCCACTGGGGAGGTGCGAGTCTGTGGGCGGGAGGAAGAGGGGCTTGTGAGTGGGCGGGGCAACTGCCGAGACCCACCAGGAACCGGGTGGGCGGAGCTGGCGCCTTTCCCAGCTGGAAGCGGGTGTCTAGAAGCCGGGATGGACTCTGCTGTGGGCTCAGTATGGGCGGGGCGGGACGGGCGGGATCTTCCCTGAGTGGAAAGGCAGTCAGGGTCGGAAGAGCCAAGGTGGGGCCAAGACCCAAGCAAGGTGAGTGAGCAAAGAGCAGGCCCTGTGCCCAGCTGGACAGGGCCAGGGACTGCGGGAGACCAGGAAAAGCACAGGGTTGGAGTGGGCGGCGGAGGGCGGGGCCAAGGCCTCCATGACCACGCCCATGTGTCCGTCCCGCCCCCAGGGGTGTTTCTGGCACACTACGGACACGCGTGGCGCGAGCAGAGGCGCTTCTCCGTGTCCACCTTGCGCAACTTGGGCCTGGGCAAGAAGTCCCTGGAGCGGTGGGTGACCGAGGAGGCCGCCTGCCTCTGTGCCGCCTTCGCCGACCAAGCCAGTGGGTGATGGGCAGAGGGGCACAAAGCGGGAACTGGGAAGGTGGAGGACTGGGAAGGCGACCCCTGACCCGCATCTCCCGCCCCCAGGACGCCCCTTTCACCCCAACGGCCTCCTGAACAAAGCGGCGAGCAACGTGATCGCCTCCCTCACCTGCGGGTGCCGCTTCGAGTACGACGACCCTCGCTTCCTCAGGCTACTGGACCTAGCTCAGAAGGGATTGAAGGAGGAGCTGGGCTTTCTGTGAGAGATGTGGAGCGAGGGACCGCAGGGTCTCTGCAGGGCGAGCTCCTGAGAGGTGCCGGGACTGCAGCCGGACCTCCAAGGAGCAGGGTTTGCATAGAGTGGTTTGGGAAAGGACATTCCAGAAGAGCTCACTGCTAGAGGAAGGGCCTTGAGGAGGAGGAGACATCTCAGATACGGTCGTGGGAGAGGTGTGCCCGGGTCAGGGGGCACCAAGAAAGGCCAAGGACCCTGTGCCTCCTGTCCACATTGGAGATTTTGATTTTTAGGTTTCTCCTCTGGCAGCCCAGGGCAAGGAGAGAGGGTGGAGGCTGGCACTTGGGGAGGGACTTGGGGAGGTGAGTGGTGGGGACAGGCAGGCCCTGGGTCTTCCCTGGAGGCAGCTGGGGCCTGAGACTGGTCCAGGTGAACGCAGAGCACAGGAGGGATTGAGACCCCGTTCTGTGTCAGCTGTAGATGCTGAATGTTGTCCCCCTCCTCCTGCGCATCCCAGGGCTGGCTGGCAAGGTCCTACGCTCCCAAAAGGCTTTCCTGACCCAGCTGGATGAGCTGCTGACCGAGCACAGAATGATCTGGGACCCAGCCTAGCCACCCCGAGACCTGACTGAGGCCTTCCTGGCAGAGAAGGAGAAGGTGAGAGTGGCTGACACGGTAGGGACCAGGGGTGGTGGGTTGAGCGTCCGGGAGGAATGAGGCAGGCAAAAGGTGGGTCCATTGGATCACTTGGCAAGTGGCACCTGGGCTGACAGGTGCAGAATGTGGAGGTCATTTGGGGGCTTTCCCGTTCTGTCCCCTGAGTACCCTCTCAGCCCTGCTCAGGCCAAGGGGAACCCTGAGAGCAGCTTCAATGATGAGAACCTGCGCATGGTGGTGGCTGACCTGTTCTTTGCCGGGATGGTGACCACCTCGATCACGCTGGCCTGGGGCCTCCTGCTCATGATCCTACGCCCGGATGTGCAGCGTGAGCCCAGCTGGGGCCCAGTGCAGGGGGCAAGGGAGGAAGGGTACAGGTGGGGGCCCCTGAGCTTAGCTGGGACACCCGGGACTCCAAGCACAGGCTTGGCCAGGTTCCTGTAAGCCTAACCTCCTCCAACACAGGAGGCAGGAGAGTGTCAGGGCTGGTCCCCTGGGTGCTGACCCATTGTGGGGACGCGTGTCTGTCCAGGCCGTGTCCAACAGATCGACAACGTGATAGGGCAGGTGTGGTGACCAGAGATGGGTGACCAGGCTCGCATGCCCTGCACCACTGCCGTGATTCACGAGGTGCAGCGCTTTGGGGACATCGTCCCCCTGGGTGTGACCCATATGACATCCCGTGACATCGAAGTACAGGGCTTCCGCATCCCTAAGGTAGGCCTGGCACCCTCCTCACCCCAGCTCAGCACCAGCCCCTGGTGATAGCCCCAGCATGGCCACTGCCAGGTGGGCCCAGTCTAGGAACCCTGGCCACCCAGTCCTCAATGCCACCACATCGACTGTCCCAGCCTGGGTGTGGGGTGCAGAGTATAGGCAGGGCTGGCCTGTCCATCCAGAGCCCCAGTCTAGTGGGGAAGGCAGACCAGGACCTGCCAGAATGTTGGAGGACCCCAATACCTGTAGGGAGAGGGGGTAGCGTGGGCGCTCCCAGGAGGTGTGACTGCGCCCTGCCGTGGGGTCGGAGAGGGTGCTCTGGAGCTTCTCGGGCACAGGACTAGTTGACAGAGTCCAGCTGTGTGCCAGGCAGTGTGTGTCCCCTGTGTGCTTGGGGGTCCCAGCATCCTAGAGTCCAGTCCCCACTCTCACCCTGCATCTCCTGCCCAGGGGATGATGCTCTTCACCAACCTGTCATCGGTGCTGAAGGATGAGGCCGTCTGGGAGAAGCCCTTCCGCTTCCACCCCGAACACTTCCTGGATGCCCAGGGCCACTTTGTGAAGCTGGAGGCCTTCCTGCCTTTCTCAGCAGGTGCCTGTGGGGAGCCCGGCTCCCTGTCCCCTTCCGTGGAGTCTTGCAGGGGTATCACCCGGGAGCCAGGCTCACTGACGCCCCTCCCCTCCCCACAGGCCGCCGTGCATGCCTCGGGGAGCCCCTGGCCCGCATAGAGCTCTTCCTCTTCTTCACCTCCCTGCTGCAGCACTTCAGCTTCTCGGTGCCCACCGGACAGCCCCGGCCCAGCCACTCTCGTGTCGTCGGCTTTCTGGTGACGCCATCCCCCTATGAGCTTTGTGCTGTGCCCCGCTAGAGTTGCTCCTCAGCTGGGACCCTGTTGTACAATAAATTAGTCTAGTGGCTCCCACTTGGTTTCTGTATCCAGTCTGGGCCCCTGCCAAGGTCCTGGTTGTGTTGGGTCGTCAGTCACCTGCCTGATGTCAGTGCTCACCCCTCACCCCTCACCCCTCACCTCATTCATTCATTTTTTTTTTTTTTTTTTTGAGATGGAGCCTACTCTGTCACCCAGGCTGGAGTGCAGTGGTGCAATCTCAGCTCACTGCAACCTCCGCCTCCAGAGTTCAAGCGATTCTCGTGCCTCAGCTTCCTGAGTAGCTGGGATTACAGGCACCGGGTACCACCCCCGGCTCATTTTTGTCTTTTTAGTAGTGATGGGTTTCGCCATGTTGGCCAGTCTGGTTTCAAACTCCTGACTTCACGTGACCACCAGCCTCAGCCTCCCAAAGTGCTGGGATTACAGGCGTGAGCCACCGAGACCAGCCTCACCTCATTCACTCTTACCTGGACGCCTGACTTTACTTGAGATACAGGCATAGTGATTCTCAGCAGGAAACAGCCTGCCCCCACGTCACGCCCAGAGACCCATCACTGGCTGCCTGGCTTGGTGACAAAGTCCATGCGTAAGTCTTGGCTGGGGTGGATATGAATAGGCATATGCCAAGAATCAACCCATTCCCTGGCTAGGGTGGGAGACTGTGTTGTGCTCCCCCAGACCACCCTCAGGTTCAGTGATTTCTAGAAGGTCTCACAGCCCTAGAAAAGCTGTTATTCTCCCTGTTAACAGTTTATTACAGAGAAGGGTACAGATTAAAGTCAGCAAAGATGAAAGGCACAGGGACCAGAGTCCAGAATGACCAGGCCAAGGCTGCAGCTCTCTTTTCTGGTGGACTCCTACAGGCAGTGCTTAATTCTCCCCCAACAGTAAGTGAGGCAGCAGAGAGCCCTGCCAGCCACGGAAGCTCACCTGGGCCTTGGTGTCCATGGTTTTTGTTGGGAGTTGGTCATCCTAGGCTTGAGCCCCCGCAGCATGGCTGACCTCAGTTACTCAGTCTCCAGCCCCTCCTGAAGTCAGATGGATACAGGCCTGACGGCCCCACCCTCGATCACATTGTTGGCATAAACTGTGTTGTACGGTCCAAGGCCCTAGCTATGTACAAAGACACTATTTCAGGCAGGACATTCCAAGGCCTTAGCAGATATCTCCCAGCCTCCTGTCAAGAGTCAGTTTGGACTCTTGGTCCAGTGGCTTGCATTGTGCAAGGAATGACTTCCCCACTTTTTACTACACAGGCCACCCCTCTTGGCTCTAACAGCAAAATGATATTAGTTTGAGCATCTGTGTGTGTGTGTGTGTGTGTGTGTGTGTGTGTGTGTTTTCTTGAGACAGGGTCTTGCTCTGTCACCGAGGCTGGAGTGCAGTGATGCCATCAGGGCTCACTGCAGCCTTGACTTCCTGGGTTCAAGCAATCCTCCCATCTCAGCCTCCCTAGTAGCTGGGACTGCAGGCACATGCCACCATGCTTTGCTAATTTTTGTATTTTTTGTAGAGACGGAGTTTCACCATGTTGGCCAGGCTGCTTTCGAACTCCCTATCTCAGGTCATCTGACTGCCTCAGCCCCCCAGAGTGCTGGGATTACAGGTGTAAGCTACTGTGCCCAGCCAAATTTCCTTCCTAATTTCTTCATTGAACCACTGGCCATTCCGGACCATATTGTTTAATTTTCACGTGTATGTATAGTTTCCAGAATTCCTCTTGTTGTTGATTTCCACTTTTATTCTGTTGTGGTCAGAGAAGATGCTTGATATTATTTTAACATTTGTAATGTTTTAAGACTTGCCTTGTGACCTAACATATGGTGTATCCTTGAGAATGATCCATGTGCTGAGGAGAAGAATGTGTATTCTGCAGACTTTAGACGAAGTGTTCTGTAAGTATCTAGTAGGTCCATTTCTTTTGTAGTGCAGATTAAGTCTAATGTTTTCTTATTGGGTTTCCATCTGGGACACCCGTCCAATGCTGAATGTGGGGTGTTGACGTCTTTAGCTGTTATTGCGTTAACGTCTCTCTTGGGCTCCAATAACATTTGCTTTACGTGCTCCAGTGTTGTGTGCATATGTATTTACAATTGTTATATTCTGTTGCTGGATGACCTTCTTTGTCTCCTCTTACAGTTTTTTTGGTTGTTGTTGTTTGTTTGTTTTGTTTTGGAGACGGAGTCTCGCTCTGTCACCCAGGCTGGAGTGCAGTGGCGCGATCTTGGCTCACTGCAAGCTTCGCCTCCCAGGTTGACGCCATTCTCCTGCCTCAGCCTCCTGAGTAGCTGGGACTACAGGCGCCCGCCACCACGCCTGGCTAATTTTTTGTATTTTTAGTAGAGACGGGGTTTCACCATGTTAGCCAGGATAGTCTCAATCTCCTGACCTCGTGATCCGCCCGCCTCAGCCTCCCAAAGTGCTGGGATTACAGGCGTGAGCCACCACACCCGGCCTCCTCTTACAGTTTTTGTTTTAAAATCTGTTCTGTCTAAGTATTGCTACTCCTGCTCTTTTTTGTTTTCCATTGGCATGGAGTATCTTTTTCCATCCCTTTATTTTCAGTCTATGTGTATCTTTACAGGTGAAGTGTGTTTCTTCTAGACAAAAGAGCATTGAGCTTTGCTTTTTCATCCATTCAGCCACTCTGTGTCTTTGTATTGGAGAGTTTAGTCCATTTACATTCAATGTTATTATTGCTAAGCAGGGACTTACTCCTGCTATTTTGTTATTTCTTTTCTCACTGTTTTGTGGTCTTCTCTTTTTTTTTTTTTTCCTTGTCTTCCTTTTAATGAAGGTGATTTTCTCTGGTGGTATGATTTAATTTCTTGCTTTTTTTTGTGTGTGTATCCATTGTGTGTTTTTTCTTCTTTTCTTTTTGAGACACAGTCTCACTTATTGTGTGCTTTTTGATTTGAGGTTGCCGTGAGGCTTGCAAATATTATCTTATAACTCATTATTTTAAACGGATGACAACACTGATTGCGTAAACAAACATAAAGCAAAAGGAAGACTAATAAAAACTCTACACTTTAAGTTCATCTTAGTGCTTTTTAACTTTTTGTTGTTTCTCTTTTTTTGTTTTTGAGATAAAGTCTTGCTCTGTTGCCCAGGCTAGAGTGCAGTGGCACGATCTCAGCTCACTGTAACCTCCACTTCCCAGGTTCAACCGATTCTCCTGCCTCAGCCTCCTGGGTAGCAGGCGCCCACCACCATGCCCAGCTAAATTTTTTGTATTTTTAGTAGAGATGGGGTTTCACCATGTTGGCCAGGCTTGTCTCGAACTCCTGCCCTCAGGTGATCCACCCACCTCAGCCTTACAAAGTGCTGGGATTACCTGCGTGAGCCACCGGGTCCGGCCTCTTTATGTCTTACTGTACTGTCTGTCTTGAAAAGTACTTATTATTTTTGATTGGTTCATCATTTAGTCTAATTAAAATAAGAGTAGTTTACACACCACAATTACAGTATTATAATACTCTGTTTTTCTGTGTGCTTACTATTACCAGTGAGTTTTGTACCTTTAGATGATTTCTTCTTGCTCATTAATATCCTTTTTTTTTTCAGATTGAAAAACTCCCTTTAGCATTTCTTGTGGGATATAGGTCTGGTGTTGATGAAATCTCGCAGCTTTTGTTTGTCTGGGAAGGTCTTTATTTCTCCTTCCTGTTGGAAGGATATTTTTGCCAGATACGTTATTCTAGGCTAAAAGTTTTTTTTCCTTCAGCACTTTAAATATGTCATGCCACTCCCCCCTGGCCTGTAAGGTTTCCACTGGAAAGGTGGCTGCCCCATGTCATGTATTGGAGCTCTACTGCATGTTATTTGTTTCTTTTCTCTTGCTGCTTTTAGGATCCTTTCTTTATCCTTGACCTTTCGGAGTTTAATTATCAGATGCCTTGAGGTCGTCTTCTTTGGGTTAAATCTGCTTGGTGTTCTATAAACTTCTTGTACAAAAAATCAGCCAGGCATGGTGGTGGGCACCTGTAATCCCAGCTACTTGGGAGGCTGAGGCAGGAGAATCGCTTGAACCCTGGAGGTGGAGGTTGCAGTGAGCCGAGATCGCATCATTGCACTCCCACCTGGGCGACAGAGCAAAACTCCGTCTCAAAAAAAAAATTATTTGGGCTCGGTGGTGCCTGTAGTCCCAGCTACTTGGGAGGCAGGAGGTCCACTTGATGTTGAGATTGCAGTGAGCCATGATCCTGCCACTGCACTCCGGCCCGGGCAACAGAGTGAGACCCTGTCTAAAGAAAAAATAAAAATAAAAAAGCAACATATCCTAAATAAAGGATCCTCCATAATGTTTCCACCAGATTTCTAATCAGAAACATGGAGGCCAGGAAGCAGTGGAGAATGACGACCCTCAGGCAGCCCTGGAGGATGCTGTCACAGGCTGGGGCAAGGGCCTTCAGGCTACCAACTGGGAGCTCTGGGAACAGCCCTGTTGCAAACAGGAAGTCATGGCCCGGCCAGAGCCCAGAATGTGGGCTGAGCTGGGATCCACGTGACAGCTTTGAGGCTCACCGGGAGCAGCCTCTGGACAGGAGAGGTCCCATCCAGGAAACCTCGGGCATGGCTGGGAAGTGGGGTACTTGGTGCCGGGTCTGTATGTGTGTGTGACTGGTGTGTGTGAGAGAGAATGTGTGCCCTGAGTGTCAGTGTGAGTCTGTGTATGTGTGAATATTGTCTTTGTGTGGGTGATTTTCTGCATGTGTAATCGTGTCCCTGCAAGTGTGAACAAGTGGACAAGTGTCTGGGAGTGGACAAGAGATCTGTGCACCATCAGGTGTGTGCATAGCGTCTGTGCATGTCAAGAGTGCAAGGTGAAGTGAAGGGACCAGGCCCATGATGCCACTCATCATCAGGAGCTCTAAGGCCCCAGGTAAGTGCCAGTGACAGATAAGGGTGCTGAAGGTCACTCTGGAGTGGGCAGGTGGGGGTAGGGAAAGGGCAAGGTCATGTTCTGGAGGAGGGGTTGTGACTACATTAGGGTGTATGAGCCTAGCTGGGAGGTGGATGGCCGGGTCCACTGAGACCCTGGTTATCCCAGAAGCCTGTGTGGGCTTGGGGAGCTTGGAGTGGGGAGAGGGGGTGACTTCTCCGACCAGGCCTTTCTACCACCCTACCCTGGGTAAGGGCCTGGAGCAGGAAGCAGCGGCAAGGACCTCTGGAGCAGCCCATACCTGCCCTGGCCTGACTCTGCCACTGGCAGCACAGTCAACACAGCAGGTTCACTCACAGCAGAGGGCGAAGGCCATCATCAGCTCCCTTTATAAGGGAAGGGTCACGCGCTCGGTGTGCTGAGAGTGTCCTGCCTGGTCCTCTGTGCCTGGTGGGGTGGGGGTGCCAGGTGTGTCCAGAGGAGCCCAGTTGGTAGTGAGGCAGCCATGGGGCTAGAAGCACTGGTGCCCCTGGCCATGATAGTGGCCATCTTCCTGCTCCTGGTGGACCTGATGCACCGGCACCAACGCTGGGCTGCACGCTACCCGCCAGGTCCCCTGCCACTGCCCGGGCTGGGCAACCTTGCTGCATGTGGACTTCCAGAACACACCATACTGCTTCGACCAGGTGAGGGAGGAGGTCCTGGAGGGCGGCAGAGGTCCTGAGGATGCCCCACCACCAGCAAACATGGGTGGTGGGTTAAACCACAGGCTGGATCAGAAGCCAGGCTGAGAAGGGGAAGCAGGTTTGGGGGACGTCCTGGGGAAGGACATTTATACATGGCATGAAGGACTGGATTTTCCAAAGGCCAAGGAAGAGTAGGGCAAGGGCCTGGAGGTGGAGCTGGACTTGGCAGTGGGCATGCAAGCCCATTGGGCAACATATGTTATGGAGTACAAAGTCCCTTCTGCTGACACCAGAAGGAAAGGCCTTGGGAATGGAAGATGAGTTAGTCCTGAGTGCCGTTTAAATCACGAAATCGAGGATGAAGGGGGTGCAGTGACCCGGTTCAAACCTTTTGCACTGTGGGTCCTCGGGCCTCACTGCTCACCGGCATGGACCATCATCTGGGAATGGGATGCTAACTGGGGCCTCTCGGCAATTTTGGTGACTCTTGCAAGGTCATACCTGGGTGACGCATCCAAACTGAGTTCCTCCATCACAGAAGGTGTGACCCCCACCCCCGCCCCAGGATCAGGAGGCTGGGTCTCCTCCTTCCACCTGCTCACTCCTGGTAGCCCCGGGGGTCGTCCAAGGTTCAAATAGGACTAGGACCTGTAGTCTGGGGGGATCCTGGCTTGACAAGAGGCCCTGACCCTCCCTCTGCAGTTGCGGCGCCGCTTCGGGGACGTGTTCAGCCTGCAGCTGGCCTGGACGCCGGTGGTCGTGCTCAATGGGCTGGCGGCCGTGCGCGAGGCGATGGTGACCCGCGGCGAGGACACGGCCGACCGCCCGCCTGCGCCCATCTACCAGGTCCTGGGCTTCGGGCCGCGTTCCCAAGGCAAGCGGCGGTGGGGGACAGAGACCGCGTTTCCGTGGGCCCCGGGTGGACAGTGACCGTAGCCCAAGCAGCGCCGACAGGGCGTGGGGTCCTGGACGTGAAACAGAGATAAAGGCCAGCGAGTGGGCTGAGGACAGTGGGCCAGGAAACCACCTGCACGGGGGAGGTGCGAGTCTGTGGGCTGGGAGGGGGCGGGGCTACTGCCCAGACCCGCCAGAAGCCCGGTGGGCGAGGCTGATGCGTCGAAGTGGCGGTGGCGGGGACCGCGCCTATGCTGCGGGCTCAGTGTGGGCGGGACGGGCGGGATCTTCCTTGAGTGGAAAGGTGGTCAGGGTGGGCAGAGACGAGGTGGGGCCAAACCCCGCCCCAGGCAGGGGAGCAATGTGGGTGAGCAAAGAGTGGGCCCTGTGCCCAGCTGGACCGGGCTAGGGACTGCGGGAGACCTTGTGGAGCGCCAGGGTTGGAGTGGGTGGCGGAGGGTGGGGCCAAGGCCTTCATGGCAACGCCCACGTGTCCGTCCCGCCCCCAGGGGTGTTCCTGTCGCGCTATGGGCCCGCGTGGCGCGAGCAGAGGCGCTTCTCCGTGTCCACCTTGCGCAACTTGGGCCTGGGCAAGAAGTCGCTGGAGCAGTGGGTGACCGAGGAGGCCGCCTGCCTTTGTGCCGCCTTCGCCGACCAAGCCGGTGGGTGATGGGCAGAAGGGCACACAGCGGGAACTGGGAAGGCGGGGGACGGAGAAGGCGACCCCTTACCCGCATCTCCCACCCCCAGGACGCCCCTTTCGCCCCAACGGTCTCTTGGACAAAGCCGTGAGCAACGTGATCGCCTCCCTCACCTGCGGGCGCCGCTTCGAGTACGACGACCCTCGCTTCCTCAGGCTGCTGGACCTAGCTCAGGAGGGACTGAAGGAGGAGTCGGGCTTCCTGCGCGAGGTGCGGAGCAAGGGTCTTTGCAGGGCGAGCTCCTGAGAGGTGCCGGGGCTGGACTGGGGCCTCCGAAGGGCAGGATTTGCGTAGATGGGTTTGGGAAAGGACATTCCAGGAGACCCCACTGTAAGAAGGGCCTGGAGGAGGAGGGGACATCTCAGACATGGTCGTGGGAGAGGTGTGCCCGGGTCAGGGGGCACCAGGAGAGGCCAAGGACTCTGTACCCCCGTCCACGTTGGAGATTTCGATTTTAGGTCTCTCCTCTGGGCAAGGAGAGAGAGGGTGGAGGCTGGCACTTGGGGAGGGACTTGGTGAGGTCAGTGGTAAGGACAGGCAGGCCCTGGGTCTTCCTGGAGATGGCTGGGGCCTGAGACTGGTCCAGATGAACGCAGAGCACAGGAGGGATTGAGACCCCGTTCTGTCTGGTGTAGGTGCTGAATGCTGTCCCCGTCCTCCTGCACATCCCAGCGCTGGCTGGCAAGGTCCTACGCTTCCAAAAGGCTTTCCTGACCCAGCTGGATGAGCTGCTAACTGAGCACAGGATGACCTGGGACCCAGCCCAGCCACCCCGAGACCTGACTGAGGCCTTCCTGGCAAAGAAGGAGAAGGTGAGAGTGGCTGCCACGGTGGGGGGCAAGGGTGGTGGGTTGAACGTCCCAGGAGGAATGAGGGGAGGCTGGGCAAAAGGTTGGACCAGTGCATCACCCGGCGAGCCGCATCTGGGCTGACAGGTGCAGAATTGGAGGTCATTTGGGGGCTACCCCGTTCTATCCCCTGAGTATCCTCTCGGCCCTGCTCAGGCCAAGGGGAGCCCTGAGAGCAGCTTCAATGATGAGAACCTGCGCATAGTGGTGGGTAACCTGTTCCTTGCCGGGATGGTGACCACCTTGACCACGCTGGCCTGGGGCCTCCTGCTCATGATCCTACACCTGGATGTGCAGCGTGAGCCCAGCTGGGGCCCAAGGCAGGGACTGAGGGAGGAAGGGTACAGCTGGGGGCCCCTGGGCTTAGCTGGGACACCCGGGGCTTCCAGCACAGGCGTGGCCAGGCTCCTGTAAGCCTAACTTCCTCCAACACAGGACGAAGGAGAGTGTCCCCTGGGTGCTGACCCATTGTGGGGACGCATGTCTGTCCAGTCCGTGTCCAACAGGAGATCGACGACGTGATAGGGCAGGTGCGGCGACCAGAGATGGGTGACCAGGCTCACATGCCCTACACCACTGCCGTGATTCACGAGGTGCAGCGCTTTGGGGACATCATCCCCCTGAGTGTGACCCATATGACATCCCATGACATCGAAGTACAGGGCTTCCGCATCCCTAAGGTAGGCCTGGCGCCCTCCTCACCCCAGCTCAGCATCAGCCCCGGTGGTAGCCCCAGCATGGCTACTGCCAGGTGGGCCCACTCTAGGAACCCTGGCCACCTAGTCCTCAATGCCACCACACTGACTGTCCCCGCTTGGATGGGGGGTCCAGAGTATAGGCAGGGCTGGCCTGTCCATCCAGAGCCCCCGTCTAGTGGGGAAGACAAATCAGGACCTGCCAGAATGTTGGAGGACCCAGCGCCTGCAGGGAGAGGGGGCAGTGTGGGTGCCTCTGAGAGGTGTGACTGCGCCCTGCTGTGGGGTCGGAGAGGGTACTGTGGAGCTTCTCGGGCGCAGGACTAGTTGACAGAGTCCAGCTGTGTGCCAGGCAGTGTGTGTCCCCCGTGTGTTTGGTGGCAGGGGTCCCAGCATCCTAGAGTCCAGTCCCCACTCTCACCCTGCATCTCCTGCCCAGGGAACGACACTCATCACCAACCTGTCATCGGTGCTGAAGGATGAGGCCGTCTGGAAGAAGCCCTTCCGCTTCCACCCCGAACACTTCCTGGATGCCCAGGGCCACTTTGTGAAGCCGGAGGCCTTCCTGCCTTTCTCAGCAGGTGCCTGTGGGGAGCCCGGCTCCCTGTCCCCTTCCGTGGAGTCTTGCAGGGGTATCACCCAGGAGCCAGGCTCACTGACGCCCCTCCCCTCCCCACAGGCCGCCGTGCATGCCTCGGGGAGCCCCTGGCCCGCATGGAGCTCTTCCTCTTCTTCACCTCCCTGCTGCAGCACTTCAGCTTCTCCGTGGCCGCCGGACAGCCCCGGCCCAGCCACTCTCGTGTCGTCAGCTTTCTGGTGACCCCATCCCCCTACGAGCTTTGTGCTGTGCCCCGCTAGAATGGGGTACCTAGTCCCCAGCCTGCTCCCTAGCCAGAGGCTCTAATGTACAATAAAGCAATGTGGTAGTTCCAACTCGGGTCCCCTGCTCACGCCCTCGTTGGGATCATCCTCCTCAGGGCAACCCCACCCCTGCCTCATTCCTGCTTACCCCACCGCCTGGCCGCATTTGAGACGGGTACGTTGAGGCTGAGCAGATGTCAGTTACCCTTGCCCATAATCCCATGTCCCCCACTGACCCAACTCTGACTGCCCAGATTGGTGACAAGGACTACATTGTCCTGGCATGTGGGGAAGGGGCCAGAATGGGCTGACTAGAGGTGTCAGTCAGCCCTGGATGTGGTGGAGAGGGCAGGACTCAGCCTGGAGGCCCATATTTCAGGCCTAACTCAGCCCACCCCACATCAGGGACAGCAGTCCTGCCAGCACCATCACAACAGTCACCTCCCTTCATATATGACACCCCAAAATGGAAGACAAATCATGTCAGGGAGCTATATGCCAGGGCTACCTCCCAGGGCTCAGTCGGCAGGTGCCAGAACATTCCCTGGGAAGGCCCCAGGAAAACCCAGGACCGAGCCACCGCCCTCAGCCTGTCACCTTGTGTCCAAAATTGGTGGGTTCTTGGTCTCACTGACTTCAAGAATGAAGCCGTGGACCCTCACGGTGAGTGTTACAGTTCTTAAAGATGGTGTGTTCAGAGTTTGTTCCTTCTGATGTTAAGACGTGTTCAGAGTTTCTTCCTTCTGGTGGGTGCGTGGTCTTGCTGGCTTCAGGAGTGAAGCTGCAGACCTTCACAGTGAGTGTTACGGCTCTTAAGGCTGCACGTACGGAGTTGTTCATTCTTCCTGGTGGGTTTGTGGTCTCACTGGCCTCAGGAGTGAAACTGCAGTCCTTCCAGTGTTACAACTCATAAAGGCAGTGTGGACCCAATGAGGGAGCAGCAGCAGCAAGACTTACTGCAAACAGCAAAAGAATGATGGCAACCAGGTTGCCGCTGCTACTTCAGGCAGCCTGCTTTTATTCCCTTATCTGACCCCCACCCACATCCTGCTGATTGGCCCATTTTACAGACAGTGGATTGGTCCACTTACAGAGAGCTGATTGGTGCATTTACAATCCCTGAGCTAGACACAGAGTACTGATTGGTATATTTACAAACCTTGAGCTAGACACAGAGTGCTGAATGGTGTATTTACAATCCCTTAGCTAGACATAAAGGTTGTCCCAGTCCCCACTAGATTAGCTAGATAGAGTAGACAGAGAGCACTGATTGGTGCGTTTACAAACCTTGAGTTAGACACAGGGTGCTGACTGGTGTGTTTACAAACCTTGAGCTAGACACAGAGTGCTGATTGGTGTATTTACAATCTTTTAGCTAGAAATAAAGGTTCCCCAAGTCCCCACCAGATTAGCTAGATACAGAGTGCTAATTGGTGCATGCACGAACCCGGAGCTAGACACAGAGTGCTGATTGGTGCATATACAATCCTCTGGCTAGACATAAAAGTTCTCCAAGTCCCCACCTGACTCAGGAGCCCAGCCAGCTTCGCCTAGTGGATCCTATGCCAGGGCCACAGGCAGAGCTGCCTGCTAGTCCCACACCAGGCACCTGTACTCCTCAGCCCTTGGGCAGTGGACGGGACCAGGTGCCGTGGAGCAGTGGGAGGCACCCATCCGGGAGGCTCAGGCCTCGCAGGGAGCCCACCGTAGGGAGGCTTGGGCATGGCAGGCTGCAAGTCCTGAGCCCTGCCCCGCGGGGAGGTGACTGAGGCCTGGCGACAATTCAAGTGTGGTGAGCGCCGGCAGGCCAGCAGTACTGGGGGACCCGGTGCCCCCTCTGCAGCTGCTGGCCCAGGTGCTAAGCCCCTCACTGCCTGGGGCCAGAGGCACCAGCCGGCCGCTCCGAGTGCAGGGCCCGCTGAGCCCCTGCCCACCCAGAACTGGTGCTGGCCCGCGAGCAACCCAGGTTCCCGCACACGCCTCTCCCTCCATACCTCCCCGCAAGCAGAGGGAGCCGGCTCCAGCCTCCACCAGTCCAGAGAGGGGCTCCCACAGTGCAGCGCTGGGCTGAAGGGCTCCTCAAGTGTGGTCAGAGCAGAAGCTGAGGCCGAGGAGGCGCTGAGAGCGAGCGAGGACCGCCAGCACGTTGACACCTCTCACCCTCACCACAGGACTGGCCACCTCTCTGGGCCCTCAGGGATGCTGCTGTCCGGACCCCTGACCAGTGACGAGTTTGCACTCAGGGCCAGGCTGGCGCTGGAGGAGGACACTTGTTTGGCTCCAACCCTAGGTACCATCCTCCCAGTAGGGATCAGGCAGGGCCCACAGGCCTGCCCTAGGGACAGGAGTCAACCTTGGACCCATAAGGCACTGGGGCGGGTAGAGAAGGAGGAGGTGGCATGGGCAGCTGAGAGCCAGAGACCCTGACCCTAGTCCTTGCTCTGCCATTACCCCGTGTGACCCCGGGCCCACCCTTCCCCACCCTTCCCCACCCTTCCCCACCCCGGGCTTCTGTTTCCCTTCTGCCAACGAGAAGGCTGCTTCACCTGCCCCGAGTCCTGTCTTCCTGCTCTGCCTTCTGGGGCTGTGGCCCTTGCTGGCCTGGAGCCCCAACCAAGGGCAGGGACTGCTGTCCTCCACGTCTGTCCTCACCGACATAATGGGCTGGGCTGGGCACACAGGCAGTGCCCAAGAGTTTCTAATGAGCATATGATTACCTGAGTCCTGGGCAGACCTTCTTAGGGAACAGCCTGGGACAGAGAACCACAGACACTCTGAGGAGCCACCTGAGGCCTCTTTTGCCAGAGGACCCTACAGCCTCCCTGGCAGCAGTTCCGCCAGCATTTCTGTAAATGCCCTCATGCCAGGGTGCGGCCCGGCTGTCAGCACGAGAGGGACGTTGGTCTGTCCCCTGGCACCGAGTCAGTCAGAAGGGTGGCCAGGGCCCCCTTGGGCCCCTCCAGAGACAATCCACTGTGGTCACACGGCTCGGTGGCAGGAAGTGCTGTTCCTGCAGCTGTGGGGACAGGGAGTGTGGATGAAGCCAGGCTGGGTTTGTCTGAAGACGGAGGCCCCGAAAGGTGGCAGCCTGGCCTATAGCAGCAGCAACTCTTGGATTTATTGGAAAGATTTTCTTCACGGTTCTGAGTCTTGGGGGTGTTAGAGGCTCAGAACCAGTCCAGCCAGAGCTCTGTCATGGGCACGTAGACCCGGTCCCAGGGCCTTTGCTCTTTGCTGTCCTCAGAGGCCTCTGCAAAGTAGAAACAGGCAGCCTTGTGAGTCCCCTCCTGGGAGCAACCAACCCTCCCTCTGAGATGCCCCGGGGCTAGGTCAGCTGTGGTGAAAGGTAGGGATGCAGCCAGCTCAGGGGAGTGGCCCAGAGTTCCTGCCCACCCAAGGAGGCTCCCAGGAAGGTCAAGGCACCTGACTCCTGGGCTGCTTCCCTCCCCTCCCCTCCCCAGGTCAGGAAGGTGGGAAAGGGCTGGGGTGTCTGTGACCCTGGCAGTCACTGAGAAGCAGGGTGGAAGCAGCCCCCTGCAGCACGCTGGGTCAGTGGTCTTACCAGATGGATACGCAGCAACTTCCTTTTGAACCTTTTTATTTTCCTGGCAGGAAGAAGAGGGATCCAGCAGTGAGATCAGGCAGGTTCTGTGTTGCACAGACAGGGAAACAGGCTCTGTCCACACAAAGTCGGTGGGGCCAGGATGAGGCCCAGTCTGTTCACACATGGCTGCTGCCTCTCAGCTCTGCACAGACGTCCTCGCTCCCCTGGGATGGCAGCTTGGCCTGCTGGTCTTGGGGTTGAGCCAGCCTCCAGCACTGCCTCCCTGCCCTGCTGCCTCCCACTCTGCAGTGCTCCATGGCTGCTCAGTTGGACCCACGCTGGAGACGTTCAGTCGAAGCCCCGGGCTGTCCTTACCTCCCAGTCTGGGGTACCTGCCACCTCCTGCTCAGCAGGAATGGGGCTAGGTGCTTCCTCCCCTGGGGACTTCACCTGCTCTCCCTCCTGGGATAAGACAGCAGCCTCCTCCTTGGGGGCAGCAGCATTCAGTCCTCCAGGTCTCCTGGGGGTCGTGACCTGCAGGAGGAATAAGAGGGCAGACTGGGCAGAAAGGCCTTCAGAGCACCTCATCCTCCTGTTCTCACACTGGGGTGTCACAGTCCTGGGAAGTTCTTCCTTTTCAGTTGAGCTGTGGTAACCTTGTGAGTTTCCTGGAGGGGGCCTGCCACTACCCTTGGGACTCCCTGCCGTGTGTCTGGGTCTAACTGAGCTCTGAAAGGAGAGAGCCCCAGCCCTGGGCCTTCCAGGGGAAGCCTTACCTCAGAGGTTGGCTTCTTCCTACTCTTGACTTTGCGTCTCTGCAGAGGGAGGTGGGAGGGGTGACACAACCCTGACACCCACACTATGAGTGATGAGTAGTCCTGCCCCGACTGGCCCATCCTTTCCAGGTGCAGTCCCCCTTACTGTGTCTGCCAAGGGTGCCAGCACAGCCACCCCACTCCAGGGGAAGAGGAGTGCCAGCCCTTACCCACCTGAGTGGGCACAGTGTAGCATTTATTCATTAGCCCCCACACTGGCCTGACCGTCTCCCCTGTGGGCTGCATGACAAGGAGAGAGAACAGGCTGAGGTGAGAGCTACTGTCAACACCTAAACCTAAAAAATCTATAATTGGGCTGGGCAGGGTGGCTCACGCCTGTAATCCCAGCACTTTGGGAGGCCGAGATGGGTGGATCACCTGAGGTCAGATGTTCGAGACCAGCCTGGCCAACATGGTGAAACCCCGTCTCTACTAAAAATACAAAAAATTAGCTGGGCGTGGTGGTGGGTGCCTGTAATCCCAGCTACTCAGGAGGCTGAGGCAGGAGAATTGCTTGAACCTGGGAGGCAGAGGTTGCAGTGAGCCGAGATCACACCATTGCACTCCAGTCTGGGTGATAAGTATGAAACGCCATCTCCAAAACAAAAGAAAAGCCTAATTCCCCAAGAACTGTCAGTCTTTCACCTGTCTGCTAGCTCCCAGGGAGACCCCACTTGCCAGGGCTGTCTACATTTGTCCTGAGATCTCTTCTGGTGGGAACAGCACTTTCCTCAGGAAAGTTTGTTGAAAGTCATCAGATCCATGATTGAAAATCGAAGCTGCCTGTGGTGATGGATAACAGCTGGGGTTAAAAAGCAGCAGCTGGGGCATGAGCGGTCCACAGTGAGTTTTTGTTGTTGTTTTTGTTTTTTTGGGTGGGGGATGGGGTCTTGCTAGGTCTCAAACTCCTGGCCTCAAGTCATCCTCCCATTACAGCCTTCTGAGTCACTGACACTACAGGTGTGAGCCACCATGTCCAGCTTGTAGTGGTTTTGAACAGCTCTTGCCCCTTCTTGGGAATCTAGGTGCCCTGCACGTGGGTAAGGCTGTCTGCAGCTGTGCCCATATTCAGGAAGGCCGGCAAGGCCCTGAGCCCTCACCCGTGACTGACCTGAGGTGCTGTGCAGACAGCAGGTGACGGCTAAGGGAAAGTTGAGCACTGCCTAGCCGAGCACTGAAGCCACGCCCGGCACACAGAGAGAGACCCACTCGGCAAAGACTTCGCTTCCAGGCACCTAAGGAACTCTCTGACCAGTCATTAGCTGACCACTGCCGTAACTGAAGAGCGGCTTCAGTGGCCACAGCTCGCAGGGAATGGAGACATTAATGCTTAGTCAGAATTAGTTCAGAAAAGTCACCCAGCAAAGAAACAGCTCCAACAGGCAACAACAACAACACATCCTTGGCAGGGAAGAGAATCTGACTTCCGGAGTTGCCACATTATCGCCCGTGAAATGTCCAGGTTTTAACAAATTATGAGACATGGAAAGGAAACCGAAAGGACGACCCAGACACGGGAAAAGTCACCAATGGGACCAGCCCGATGCTGCAATTGCTAGACAAAGACGTTCAGTCAGCTCATTTAAATATGT
This sequence comes from Homo sapiens, assembly GCF_000001405.40. Taxonomy (NCBI): domain Eukaryota; kingdom Metazoa; phylum Chordata; class Mammalia; order Primates; family Hominidae; genus Homo; species Homo sapiens. The sequence continues at coordinate 56,673 of NT_187682.1, read as the reverse complement.
TCAAAGACCTAAAACATGCTGCATCTGAGGCTGCACCGGCTGGAACCTGCTGATCTCGGAAGCTAAGCATGGTCAGGCCTGGCTAGTACTTCAAAGGGAGAAACCACGTGTAGGCCTGGTGCAGTGGCTCACACCTATAATCCTAGCACTCTGGGAAGCTGAGGCCCGTGGATTGCTTGAGCCCAGGAGTTTGAGAGCAGCTTGGGAAATGTGGTGAGACCCCCATCTCTACAAAAAATTTAAAAAATTAGCTGGCTGCCTATGGTCCCAGCCTCTCAGGATGCTGAGGTAGGAGGATCACTTCAGCCCAGGAAGTTGAGGCTGCAGTGAGCCATGACTGCATCACTGCACTCCAGCTTGGGCGACAGAGAGACCCTCTCCCAAGAAAAAGAAAAGAACCATGTCAAAAGAACTAACGAAAGTGTGGGAACAATGTCTCACCAATTAGAGAATATCAATAATGGGATGAACCTTATAAAAAGGGGCTGGGCATGGTGGCTCATGCCTATAATCCCAGCACTTTGGGAGGCTGAGGCGGGCATATCATGAGGTCAAGAGATTGAGACCAGCCTGGCCAACATGGTGAAACCCCGTCTCTACTTAAAATACAAAAATTAGCCGGGCGTGGTGGCACGTGCCTGTAATCCCAGCTACTCGGGAGGCTGAGGCAGGAGAATCGCTTGAACCCGAGAGGCAGAGATTGCAGTGAGCCGAGATTGCACCACTGCACTACAGCCTGGGTGACAGAGCGATACTCCAAAAAACAAAACAAAACAAAAAACAAAAAAAAAGTTGAAAAAGGAACCAAATAAAAATTCTGGAGTTGTAGGGTAAAATAAATGAAAATTCATCCCAGGGGCCCAAGAGCAGATTGGAACAATTGGAAGAAAGAGCCTGTGACTATGGAGAGAGGCCACCTGAGGTAGTCCCCTCTGAGGAACAGGAACAAGCATGAAGAGCAATGCACAGAGATCCAGAGACCTGGAGACGCCGTCAAGCTTTCCGACATACACGCAATGGGAGTCCCAGGAAAGAAGACAGGGAGAAAGGAGTAAAGGAATAGTTGAAGAATTAATGGCTGAAAAACCTCCCAAATCTGATGAAAAATATTAATCTGTACATCCAAAAAGCTCATCAAACTCCAAGTAGGGTAAACTCAAAGAGATCTTCAGCCATACGCATCATCATAATCACTGTCAAAAGACAGATTTTTCTTTTTTTAGAATTTTAAATGTACCTTTTAATTTGCTCCTGGGGCAAAGAGCCAGGACTGGTACTAGAGCAGTGTCTGGGATGAGAAGAATTTAATAAAATGGGATTAGGTCCAATGGTTGGGTTAGGGGAGGCAACCTGCTCGGGAGGATCAGCCTCAACCTATCCATGCAGCAGGGCCTCCACCTGTCCCTCTCCGTAGTCCCACACCTGGAACCCAGAGCCATCTGCCTCTTCCCAGATCATGGCCGACAGCACTCCACCGGACTGCTGCTGGAGCAGGCACAGGATTCACTTATTGAGGGCTGTGGCCTGGCACAGATCATAGCCTATACCCAGGGACAGTTGTGTCACTTCTGCCACCACCACATCCGCCTTCTGCAGCCACATCAAGTACCACTCATGGATGAGCCCGTCACCCCCAGCGGACTTATCAACCCCGCGTCCAGCTCCACAGCCGCCACGTGCTCGGTGAGCACTGGCTCCAAGCATGGCAGCTGCCATACAATCCACCTGTAGAGGGCCCGGTCCTCCTGTCCTCAGTGGATGATCCCATAGAAGTCCAGAGCTCGGCAGCTGCCCTCCCACAAAAGACAGGATTTTGAAAGCAGCAAGAGAGAAGAGACGTATCAGGTAGTCACAGTGGCTCAGGCCTGTAATCCCAGCACTTTGGGAGGCCCAGGTGGGAGGATCGCTTCACCCCAGGAATTCAAGACCAGCCTGGACAACTTGGAAGAACCGGGTCTCTACAAAAAATACAAAATTAGCTGGGATTGGGTGCGGTGGCTCATGCCTATAATCCCAGCACTTTGGGAGCCTGAGGTGGGTGGATCACCTGAAGTCAGGAGTTCAAGACTAGCCTGGCCAACATGGTGAAACCCTATCTCTACTGAAAATACAAAAAGCTAGACGTGGTGGCACACACCTGTAATCCCAGCTACTTAGGAGGCTGAGGCAGGAGAATTGCTTGAAGCCTAGAGGTGAAGGTTGTAGTGAGCCGAGATTGCATCATTGCACAATGGAGGGGAGCCACCAGCCTGGGCAACAAGAGGAAATCTCCGTCTCCAAAAAAAAAAAAAAAAAAAAAAAAAAAGGATTAGGCTGGGTGGTGCCTGTAGTCCCAGCTACTTGGGAGGCAGGGGGTCCACTTGATGTCGAGACTGCAGTGAGCCATGATCCTGCCACTGCACTCCGGCCTGGGCAACAGAGTGAGACCCTGTCTAAAGAAAAAAAAAATAAAGCAACATATCCTGAACAAAGGATCCTCCATAACGTTCCCACCAGATTTCTAATCAGAAACATGGAGGCCAGAAAGCAGTGGAGGAGGACGACCCTCAGGCAGCCCGGGAGGATGTTGTCACAGGCTGGGGCAAGGGCCTTCCGGCTACCAACTGGGAGCTCTGGGAACAGCCCTGTTGCAAACAAGAAGCCATAGCCCGGCCAGAGCCCAGGAATGTGGGCTGGGCTGGGAGCAGCCTCTGGACAGGAGTGGTCCCATCCAGGAAACCTCCGGCATGGCTGGGAAGTGGGGTACTTGGTGCCGGGTCTGTATGTGTGTGTGACTGGTGTGTGTGAGAGAGAATGTGTGCTCTAAGTGTCAGTGTGAGTCTGTGTATGTGTGAATATTGTCTTTGTGTGGGTGATTTTCTGCATGTGTAATCGTGTCCCTGCAAGTGTGAACAAGTGGACAAGTGTCTGGGAGTGGACAAGAGATCTGTGCACCATCAGGTGTGTGCATAGCGTCTGTGCATGTCAAGAGTGCAAGGTGAAGTGAAGGGACCAGGCCCATGATGCCACTCATCATCAGGAGCTCTAAGGCCCCAGGTAAGTGCCAGTGACAGATAAGGGTGCTGAAGGTCACTCTGGAGTGGGCAGGTGGGGGTAGGGAAAGGGCAAGGCCATGTTCTGGAGGAGGGGTTGTGACTACATTAGGGTGTATGAGCCTAGCTGGGAGGTGGATGGCCGGGTCCACTGAAACCCTGGTTATCCCAGAAGGCTTTGCAGGCTTCAGGAGCTTGGAGTGGGGAGAGGGGGTGACTTCTCCGACCAGGCCCCTCCACCGGCCTACCCTGGGTAAGGGCCTGGAGCAGGAAGCAGGGGCAAGAACCTCTGGAGCAGCCCATACCCGCCCTGGCCTGACTCTGCCACTGGCAGCACAGTCAACACAGCAGGTTCACTCACAGCAGAGGGCAAAGGCCATCATCAGCTCCCTTTATAAGGGAAGGGTCACGCGCTCGGTGTGCTGAGAGTGTCCTGCCTGGTCCTCTGTGCCTGGTGGGGTGGGGGTGCCAGGTGTGTCCAGAGGAGCCCATTTGGTAGTGAGGCAGGTATGGGGCTAGAAGCACTGGTGCCCCTGGCCGTGATAGTGGCCATCTTCCTGCTCCTGGTGGACCTGATGCACCGGCGCCAACGCTGGGCTGCACGCTACCCACCAGGCCCCCTGCCACTGCCCGGGCTGGGCAACCTGCTGCATGTGGACTTCCAGAACACACCATACTGCTTCGACCAGGTGAGGGAGGAGGTCCTGGAGGGCGGCAGAGGTCCTGAGGATGCCCCACCACCAGCAAACATGGGTGGTGGGTGAAACCACAGGCTGGACCAGAAGCCAGGCTGAGAAGGGGAAGCAGGTTTGGGGGACTTCCTGGAGAAGGGCATTTATACATGGCATGAAGGACTGGATTTTCCAAAGGCCAAGGAAGAGTAGGGCAAGGGCCTGGAGGTGGAGCTGGACTTGGCAGTGGGCATGCAAGCCCATTGGGCAACATATGTTATGGAGTACAAAGTCCCTTCTGCTGACACCAGAAGGAAAGGCCTTGGGAATGGAAGATGAGTTAGTCCTGAGTGCCGTTTAAATCACGAAATCGAGGATGAAGGGGGTGCAGTGACCCGGTTCAAACCTTTTGCACTGTGGGTCCTCGGGCCTCACTGCTCACCGGCATGGACCATCATCTGGGAATGGGATGCTAACTGGGGCCTCTCGGCAATTTTGGTGACTCTTGCAAGGTCATACCTGGGTGACGCATCCAAACTGAGTTCCTCCATCACAGAAGGTGTGACCCCCACCCCCGCCCCAGGATCAGGAGGCTGGGTCTCCTCCTTCCACCTGCTCACTCCTGGTAGCCCCGGGGGTCGTCCAAGGTTCAAATAGGACTAGGACCTGTAGTCTGGGGGGATCCTGGCTTGACAAGAGGCCCTGACCCTCCCTCTGCAGTTGCGGCGCCGCTTCGGGGACGTGTTCAGCCTGCAGCTGGCCTGGACGCCGGTGGTCGTGCTCAATGGGCTGGCGGCCGTGCGCGAGGCGCTGGTGACCCACGGCGAGGACACCGCCGACCGCCCGCCTGTGCCCATCACCCAGATCCTGGGTTTCGGGCCGCGTTCCCAAGGCAAGCAGCGGTGGGGACAGAGACAGATTTCCGTGGGACCCGGGTGGGTGATGACCGTAGTCCGAGCTGGGCAGAGAGGGCGCGGGGTCGTGGACATGAAACAGGCCAGCGAGTGGGGACAGCGGGCCAAGAAACCACCTGCACTAGGGAGGTGTGAGCATGGGGACGAGGGCGGGGCTTGTGACGAGTGGGCGGGGCCACTGCCGAGACCTGGCAGGAGCCCAATGGGTGAGGCTGGCGCATTTCCCAGCTGGAATCCGGTGTCGAAGTGGGGGGCGGGGACCGCACCTGTGCTGTAAGCTCAGTGTGGGTGGCGCGGGGCCCGCGGGGTCTTCCCTGAGTGCAAAGGCGGTCAGGGTGGGCAGAGACGAGGTGGGGCAAAGCCCTGCCCCAGCCAAGGGAGCAAGGTGGATGCACAAAGAGTGGGCCCTGTGACCAGCTGGACAGAGCCAGGGACTGCGGGAGACCAGGGGGAGCATAGGGTTGGAGTGGGTGGTGGATGGTGGGGCTAATGCCTTCATGGCCACGCGCACGTGCCCGTCCCACCCCCAGGGGTGTTCCTGGCGCGCTATGGGCCCGCGTGGCGCGAGCAGAGGCGCTTCTCCGTCTCCACCTTGCGCAACTTGGGCCTGGGCAAGAAGTCGCTGGAGCAGTGGGTGACCGAGGAGGCCGCCTGCCTTTGTGCCGCCTTCGCCAACCACTCCGGTGGGTGATGGGCAGAAGGGCACAAAGCGGGAACTGGGAAGGCGGGGGACGGGGAAGGCGACCCCTTACCCGCATCTCCCACCCCCAGGACGCCCCTTTCGCCCCAACGGTCTCTTGGACAAAGCCGTGAGCAACGTGATCGCCTCCCTCACCTGCGGGCGCCGCTTCGAGTACGACGACCCTCGCTTCCTCAGGCTGCTGGACCTAGCTCAGGAGGGACTGAAGGAGGAGTCGGGCTTTCTGCGCGAGGTGCGGAGCGAGAGACCGAGGAGTCTCTGCAGGGCGAGCTCCCGAGAGGTGCCGGGGCTGGACTGGGGCCTCGGAAGAGCAGGATTTGCATAGATGGGTTTGGGAAAGGACATTCCAGGAGACCCCACTGTAAGAAGGGCCTGGAGGAGGAGGGGACATCTCAGACATGGTCGTGGGAGAGGTGTGCCCGGGTCAGGGGGCACCAGGAGAGGCCAAGGACTCTGTACCTCCTATCCACGTCAGAGATTTCGATTTTAGGTTTCTCCTCTGGGCAAGGAGAGAGGGTGGAGGCTGGCACTTGGGGAGGGACTTGGTGAGGTCAGTGGTAAGGACAGGCAGGCCCTGGGTCTACCTGGAGATGGCTGGGGCCTGAGACTTGTCCAGGTGAACGCAGAGCACAGGAGGGATTGAGACCCCGTTCTGTCTGGTGTAGGTGCTGAATGCTGTCCCCGTCCTCCTGCATATCCCAGCGCTGGCTGGCAAGGTCCTACGCTTCCAAAAGGCTTTCCTGACCCAGCTGGATGAGCTGCTAACTGAGCACAGGATGACCTGGGACCCAGCCCAGCCCCCCCGAGACCTGACTGAGGCCTTCCTGGCAGAGATGGAGAAGGTGAGAGTGGCTGCCACGGTGGGGGGCAAGGGTGGTGGGTTGAGCGTCCCAGGAGGAATGAGGGGAGGCTGGGCAAAAGGTTGGACCAGTGCATCACCCGGCGAGCCGCATCTGGGCTGACAGGTGCAGAATTGGAGGTCATTTGGGGGCTACCCCGTTCTGTCCCGAGTATGCTCTCGGCCCTGCTCAGGCCAAGGGGAACCCTGAGAGCAGCTTCAATGATGAGAACCTGTGCATAGTGGTGGCTGACCTGTTCTCTGCCGGGATGGTGACCACCTCGACCACGCTGGCCTGGGGCCTCCTGCTCATGATCCTACATCCGGATGTGCAGCGTGAGCCCATCTGGGAAACAGTGCAGGGGCCGAGGGAGGAAGGGTACAGGCGGGGGCCCATGAACTTTGCTGGGACACCCGGGGCTCCAAGCACAGGCTTGACCAGGATCCTGTAAGCCTGACCTCCTCCAACATAGGAGGCAAGAAGGAGTGTCAGGGCCGGACCCCCTGGGTGCTGACCCATTGTGGGGACGCATGTCTGTCCAGGCCGTGTCCAACAGGAGATCGACGACGTGATAGGGCAGGTGCGGCGACCAGAGATGGGTGACCAGGCTCACATGCCCTACACCACTGCCGTGATTCATGAGGTGCAGCGCTTTGGGGACATCGTCCCCCTGGGTGTGACCCATATGACATCCCGTGACATCGAAGTACAGGGCTTCCGCATCCCTAAGGTAGGCCTGGCGCCCTCCTCACCCCAGCTCAGCACCAGCCCCTGGTGATAGCCCCAGCATGGCTACTGCCAGGTGGGCCCACTCTAGGAACCCTGGCCACCTAGTCCTCAATGCCACCACACTGACTGTCCCCACTTGGGTGGGGGGTCCAGAGTATAGGCAGGGCTGGCCTGTCCATCCAGAGCCCCCGTCTAGTGGGGAGACAAACCAGGACCTGCCAGAATGTTGGAGGACCCAACACCTGCAGGGAGAGGGGGCAGTGTGGGTGCCTCTGAGAGGTGTGACTGCGCCCTGCTGTGGGGTCGGAGAGGGTACTGTGGAGCTTCTCGGGCGCAGGACTAGTTGACAGAGTCCAGCTGTGTGCCAGGCAGTGTGTGTCCCCCGTGTGTTTGGTGGCAGGGGTCCCAGCATCCTAGAGTCCAGTCCCCACTCTCACCCTGCATCTTCTGCCCAGGGAACGACACTCATCACCAACCTGTCATCGGTGCTGAAGGATGAGGCCGTCTGGGAGAAGCCCTTCCGCTTCCACCCCGAACACTTCCTGGATGCCCAGGGCCACTTTGTGAAGCCGGAGGCCTTCCTGCCTTTCTCAGCAGGTGCCTGTGGGGAGCCCGGCTCCCTGTCCCCTTCCGTGGAGTCTTGCAGGGGTATCACCCAGGAGCCAGGCTCACTGACGCCCCTCCCCTCCCCACAGGCCGCCGTGCATGCCTCGGGGAGCCCCTGGCCCGCATGGAGCTCTTCCTCTTCTTCACCTCCCTGCTGCAGCACTTCAGCTTCTCGGTGCCCACTGGACAGCCCCGGCCCAGCCACCATGGTGTCTTTGCTTTCCTGGTGACCCCATCCCCCTATGAGCTTTGTGCTGTGCCCCGCTAGAATGGGGTACCTAGTCCCCAGCCTGCTCCCTAGCCAGAGGCTCTAATGTACAATAAAGCAATGTGGTAGTTCCAACTCGGGTCCCCTGCTCACGCCCTCGTTGGGATCATCCTCCTCAGGGCAACCCCACCCCTGCCTCATTCCTGCTTACCCCACCGCCTGGCCGCATTTGAGACAGGGGTACGTTGAGGCTGAGCAGATGTCAGTTACCCTTGCCCATAATCCCATGTCCCCCACTGACCCAACTCTGACTGCCCAGATTGATGACAAGGACTACATTGTCCTGGCATGTGGGGAAGGGGCCAGAATGGGCTGACTAGAGGTGTCAGTCAGCCCTGGATGTGGTGGAGAGGGCAGGACTCAGCCTGGAGGCCCATATTTCAGGCCTAACTCAGCCCACCCCACATCAGGGACAGCAGTCCTGCCAGCACCATCACAGTCACCTCCCTTCATATATGACACCCCAAAACGGAAGACAAATCATGGCGTCAGGGAGCTATAGGCCAGGGCTACCTACCTCCCAGGGCTCAGTCGGCAGGTGCCAGAACGTTCCCTGGGAAGGCCCCATGGAAGCCCAGGACTGAGCCACCACCCTCAGCCTCGTCACCTCACCACAGGACTGGCTACCTCTCTGGGCCCTCAGGGACGCTGCTGTACAGACCCCTGACCAGTGACGAGTTCGCACTCAGGGCCAGGCTGGCGCTGGAGGAGGACACTTGTTTGGCTCCAACCCTAGGTACCATCCTCCCAGTAGGGATCAGGCAGGGCCCACAGGCCTGCCCTAGGGACAGGAGTCAACCTTGGACCCATAAGGCACTGGGGCGGGCAGAGAAGGAGGAGGTGGCATGGGCAGCTGAGAGCCAGAGACCCTGACCCTAGTCCTTGCTCTGCCATTACCCCGTGTGACCCCGGGCCCACCCTTCCCCACCCTTCCCCACCCTTCCCCACCCCGGGCTTCTGTTTCCCTTCTGCCAACGAGAAGGCTGCTTCACCTGCCCCGAGTCCTGTCTTCCTGCTCTGCCTTCTGGGGCTGTGGCCCTTGCTGGCCTGGAGCCCCAACCAAGGGCAGGGACTGCTGTCCTCCACGTCTGTCCTCACCGACATAATGGGCTGGGCTGGGCACACAGGCAGTGCCCAAGAGTTTCTAATGAGCATATGATTACCTGAGTCCTGGGCAGACCTTCTTAGGGAACAGCCTGGGACAGAGAACCACAGACACTCTGAGGAGCCACCTGAGGCCTCTTTTGCCAGAGGACCCTACAGCCTCCCTGGCAGCAGTTCCGCCAGCATTTCTGTAAATGCCCTCATGCCAGGGTGCGGCCCGGCTGTCAGCACGAGAGGGACGTTGGTCTGTCCCCTGGCACCGAGTCAGTCAGAAGGGTGGCCAGGGCCCCCTTGGGCCCCTCCAGAGACAATCCACTGTGGTCACACGGCTCGGTGGCAGGAAGTGCTGTTCCTGCAGCTGTGGGGACAGGGAGTGTGGATGAAGCCAGGCTGGGTTTGTCTGAAGACGGAGGCCCCGAAAGGTGGCAGCCTGGCCTATAGCAGCAGCAACTCTTGGATTTATTGGAAAGATTTTCTTCACGGTTCTGAGTCTTGGGGGTGTTAGAGGCTCAGAACCAGTCCAGCCAGAGCTCTGTCATGGGCACGTAGACCCGGTCCCAGGGCCTTTGCTCTTTGCTGTCCTCAGAGGCCTCTGCAAAGTAGAAACAGGCAGCCTTGTGAGTCCCCTCCTGGGAGCAACCAACCCTCCCTCTGAGATGCCCCGGGGCTAGGTCAGCTGTGGTGAAAGGTAGGGATGCAGCCAGCTCAGGGGAGTGGCCCAGAGTTCCTGCCCACCCAAGGAGGCTCCCAGGAAGGTCAAGGCACCTGACTCCTGGGCTGCTTCCCTCCCCTCCCCTCCCCAGGTCAGGAAGGTGGGAAAGGGCTGGGGTGTCTGTGACCCTGGCAGTCACTGAGAAGCAGGGTGGAAGCAGCCCCCTGCAGCACGCTGGGTCAGTGGTCTTACCAGATGGATACGCAGCAACTTCCTTTTGAACCTTTTTATTTTCCTGGCAGGAAGAAGAGGGATCCAGCAGTGAGATCAGGCAGGTTCTGTGTTGCACAGACAGGGAAACAGGCTCTGTCCACACAAAGTCGGTGGGGCCAGGATGAGGCCCAGTCTGTTCACACATGGCTGCTGCCTCTCAGCTCTGCACAGACGTCCTCGCTCCCCTGGGATGGCAGCTTGGCCTGCTGGTCTTGGGGTTGAGCCAGCCTCCAGCACTGCCTCCCTGCCCTGCTGCCTCCCACTCTGCAGTGCTCCATGGCTGCTCAGTTGGACCCACGCTGGAGACGTTCAGTCGAAGCCCCGGGCTGTCCTTACCTCCCAGTCTGGGGTACCTGCCACCTCCTGCTCAGCAGGAATGGGGCTAGGTGCTTCCTCCCCTGGGGACTTCACCTGCTCTCCCTCCTGGGATAAGACAGCAGCCTCCTCCTTGGGGGCAGCAGCATTCAGTCCTCCAGGTCTCCTGGGGGTCGTGACCTGCAGGAGGAATAAGAGGGCAGACTGGGCAGAAAGGCCTTCAGAGCACCTCATCCTCCTGTTCTCACACTGGGGTGTCACAGTCCTGGGAAGTTCTTCCTTTTCAGTTGAGCTGTGGTAACCTTGTGAGTTTCCTGGAGGGGGCCTGCCACTACCCTTGGGACTCCCTGCCGTGTGTCTGGGTCTAACTGAGCTCTGAAAGGAGAGAGCCCCAGCCCTGGGCCTTCCAGGGGAAGCCTTACCTCAGAGGTTGGCTTCTTCCTACTCTTGACTTTGCGTCTCTGCAGAGGGAGGTGGGAGGGGTGACACAACCCTGACACCCACACTATGAGTGATGAGTAGTCCTGCCCCGACTGGCCCATCCTTTCCAGGTGCAGTCCCCCTTACTGTGTCTGCCAAGGGTGCCAGCACAGCCACCCCACTCCAGGGGAAGAGGAGTGCCAGCCCTTACCCACCTGAGTGGGCACAGTGTAGCATTTATTCATTAGCCCCCACACTGGCCTGACCGTCTCCCCTGTGGGCTGCATGACAAGGAGAGAGAACAGGCTGAGGTGAGAGCTACTGTCAACACCTAAACCTAAAAAAATCTATAATTGGGCTGGGCAGGGTGGCTCACGCCTGTAATCCCAGCACTTTGGGAGGCCGAGATGGGTGGATCACCTGAGGTCAGATGTTCGAGACCAGCCTGGCCAACATGGTGAAACCCCGTCTCTACTAAAAATACAAAAAATTAGCCAGGTGTGGTGGCGGGTGCCTGTAATCCCAGCTACTCAGGAGGCTGAGGCAGGAGAATCGATTGAACCCAGGAAGTGGAGGCTGCAATGAGCCAAGATCGCGTCATTGCACTCCAGCCTGGTCAACAAGAGTGAAACTGTCTTAAAAAAAAAATCTATAATTGATATCTTTAGAAAGATAAAACTTTGCATTCATGAAATAAGAATAGGAGGGTCTAAAATAAAAATGTTCAAACACCCACCACCACTAATTCTTGACAAAAATATAGTCTGGGTGCCTTAGCTCATGCCTGTAATCCCAGCATTTTGGGAGGCTAAGGCAGGAGGATTGTTTGAGCCTAGGAATTCAACACCAGCCTGGGCCACCTAAGGAGACCCCATCTCTACAAAAAATTAAAATACTGGCTGGGTGTGGTGGCACACACCTGTAGTTCCAGCTGCTTGGGAGGCTGAGGTGGGAGGATCACTTGAGTCCAGGAACAAAGCTGCAGTGAACTGTGATCGTGCCACTGCACTCCAGCCTGGGCAACAGAGAAAGACCTTGCCTTAAAAATAAAAAATATAATAATAGGAATGCAAAATCTAATCAAAGTATAGAAGCTAAACTTGAAAAAAATATTTTCCAGAAAGAACAGAGAAGAGGTCAGGAGCTCCAACAGCTAAATTGTTGTTTAGATGTTTCTGAAACAGGCAGCAGAGACAACAGACTAGGAGGCAAGGAAAGATGTCTAATAAATACGTTTCTTTTTTGTCAAGACAAGTTCTCACAGAGGAAGAACATGAGTTTCCAGTAGAGAAGGAAACACCAAGTGTTCATGACAATGAATGAAGGGGACCCAGCCCCAATTTTGTTGTCAAGAAATTTCACAACACTGAGGACAGAGTGGAACCTAAAAACTTCCAGAGAGAAAAAAGTCTGAGCTTCAGGAATTCAACATTCATCAGACTTCTCAACACCAACCTTTGAAGCTATAAGATAATGAAGACCTTCAAAATCTGAGAGAAAATATTTCCAATCTAGAATTCTATACCTAGCCAAATGCTATGCAAGTATGAATTGAGGTCTTTTCGGATACATAAATGTCTCAAGACTACCCCTCAGGAAGCAACCGGAGGTTGTACTTCACTAAAATAAAGGAGAAATAGAAAAGAAGATAACATGGGACCCAGCACAACAGGCAGGGAGAGCCCCTGAGCATAAGGGTGAATGGGGAGCTCAGGAGGACAGCTGGGCAGCAGACCTCCAGGGTGCCCCATCCAGATGGAATCAGGGAGATGGAGGGCTCCTGAGGTATGTCTCCATGAAAATGATCATATGGAGAAATGACCTGATCTGTCTAAATGTACTGCAAAGAGATTTCTATTTTTGGCAGAAAATTTGGATGAATTAATTATATAATAGATGCACAAAAAACTAAAGAAAGAGAAGAAGAAAAACTAAAATCATGACTCAACTGGGACTACTGTCTACATTTTTTGTTTTGAGAAAGAGTCTTGCTCTGTTGCCCAGACTGGAGTGCAGTGATCACGTTTCATTGCAGCCTCCACAACCTGTGCTCAAGTAAGTGACTCTCTTACCTCAGCCTCCTTAGTAGCTGGGATCACAGGGCACCACCACACTCAGCTAACTTTTTTTTTTAAATAGACAGTGTCTCCCAATGTTGTCCAGGCTGGTCTCGAACTCCTGGACTCAAGCGATCCTCCCATGTTGACCTCTCAAGTAGTTGGGATTACAGTCATGAGCCACTGTGCCTGACCTAGCTAATTTTTTTCTGATTTATTTATTTATTTTTTGTACAGAGTCTCACTATGTTGACCAGGCTGGTCTGGAACTTCTGAGCTCAAGTGATCCTCCTGCCTTCGCCTCCCAAAGTGCAGAGATTATAGGTGTAAACTATCACGCCTGGCCTGTTTACATAGTTTAATAATGTAAATCTTCAATACCGATCTAATAAAAATTGAAATATGCCTTTTAGAATGGCTTTCAAAGATAACAAATGCTGGAGAGGATGTAGAACAACTGGAACCTCTCGGTTATTGCTGGTGAGACAGCCGCTTTGAAAAAGTTTGAGTTTCTTACAAAATTAAACTTACACTTACACTTACCATATGACCCAAAAATTCCACTGCTTGCTCTTTACTCAAGTATAAGGAAAATCTATGTACACACAAAACTTGTACGTGAATATTTATTAATAGTCATTTTATGCCCCAAACTAGAAATAGTCCAAATGTTCTGGAACATCCATACAACGGACCACCACTCAATAAAAGGAACAAACTACGGATACACGTGACTAGATGAATCTCAAATGCTTTGTGCTAAGTAAAATAAACCAGACTGAAAAGGCTACCATACGTTTCCATTTATATGACAATCTTGCAAAGTCAAAACCACAGGAACAGGAAACTGTTCACTGATTGCCAGGGTGTGGGAGTAGGAGGAAGGGCTGACTACAGGTGACTATGGAGGATTTTTTTTTTTCTGAGACGGAGTCTCTGTCGCCCAGGCTGGAGTGTACTGGCACGATCTCGGCTCACTGCAACATCCACCTCCTGGGTTTAAGGTATTTTTAGTAGAGACGGGGTTTCACTATGTTGGCCAGGCTGGTCTCAAACTCCTGACCTCAGGTGATCCACCCGCTTCGGCCTCCCAAAGTGCTGGGATTATAGGCGTGAGCCACCGAGGCCAGCCGCTTTTTTTTTTTTAAAGACAGAGTCTTGCTGTGTCACTCAGGCTGGAGTGCAGTGGCGTGATCCCAGCTCACTGCAGCCTTAACATCCTGCACTCAAGTGATCCTTCTACCTCAGCTTCCTGAGTAGCTGGGACCACAGGCACACCTCACCACACCCAGCTAATTTTTAATTTTTTTGTAGAGACAGGGTCTATGTTGCCCAGGCTGGTCTTGAACTCCTGGGCTCCACCAATCCTGCCTTGCCCTCCTCACAGTGCCCGGCCCTTAGATTCTCTCTTTAACCTCTAACTCCACCCCGTCTTCCTCACTTTCAGCAGAGAGCATAGGCACCATCAGATGGGCATTTCCTCAACTTGCTGCCACCAAACCCATTCACTCACCGGCTTCTCATAGGCCATTTCCTCTTCCAGGGGATGAGGGGAGGAGGCTCCCCTCCCTCTCCAAAGCTAGCCCTACTCCTGTGCCCCATTTCATCTGGTCTTCTCACCTGGGCATTTGGAGATCTCGTCTCACCTCAATATTCTCCTTTTCCTTTTTTCTGGCTCCTTCCATCAGCATCTAAACACATTGCTGATCTCTTCTATTAAAAAGAAAAAAGCCCTTCTCCCTTGAACCCATATTCCTTCTCCAGCTAGCGTCCTGACCCCTACCCTTCACACCAGTCTCCTGAGAGCGGTGTTGGCAGGGGGGTGTGTTTACTGCTTTCTACCTCTCCCGCGCTCCACAACCCACTTCAACCTGCATCTGTCTCCATAAGCCTCTGAAACCCCTCTCACTGAGGTCACCAGTACGCTCCTAGTCACCAAACCCAGATGACTCTTTCCTTTTTTTCTTTTTTTTTTTTTTTTTGAGACGGAGTCTCGCTCTGTCGCCCAGGCTGGAGTGCAGTGGCGTGATCTCGGCTCACTGCAAGCTCCGCCTCCCGGGTTCACACCATTCTCTTGCTTCAGCCTCCCGAGTAGCTGAGACTACAGGCGGCCCGCCACGAGGCCCAGCTAATTTTTTTGTATTTACTAGCAGAGGCGGGGTTTCCCCATGTTAGCCAGGATGGTCCTGATCTCCTGACCTCGTGATCCGCCTGCCTCGGTCTTCCAAAGTGCTGGGATTACAGGCATGAGCCACTGCACCCGGCCCCAGCTGACCCTTTCTTTAACGACCTCGCCTTTTCTCTTGGCTGCTTGACCTCTCATGCTCTGGTTTTCCTCCTGCCTCCCACTCCTCTCTCTCTCTATCTCTCAGTCTCTATCTCTGTCTCTCTTTCTGTCTCTGCCTCTCTCAGTCTCTATTTCTGTCTCTGCCTCTCTCAGTCTCTATTTCTGTCTCTGCCTCTCTCTGTGTATCTCTATCTGTCTCTCTCTCTGTATCTCTGTCTCTCTCTGTATCTCTAGCTCTGTCTCTATCTCTGTCTCTGTCTCTGTCTATCTCTCTGTATCTCTAACTCTGTCTCTGTATCTGTTTCTGTCTCTCTATCTCTCTTTGTCTCTCTGTCTCTCTCTGCCTAAATCTCAGTGTCAAGTGTTGCTCCATGTCCTGCTGACGACAAAGACTCTGAACTTCCACCTCAGACACTCACTTCTAGGCCTTTGCATGTGCTGTTATCTACCTAGAATGTGTTTCTCCATGGCTTTCAGGAGGGCTCCCCTGACTACCTGAGTTCACGTGGGGTGGCCCTCCTCAGTGCTCTTAGGGTACTGTACTGTCCCCTGACTGAGGGACCACTTTAGGTCCGTCCACTGTCAAACCCCCAGTAGCTGCCCCTATGCGTGGGACACAGCAAGAGCTAAGTAACCAAATGAATGATTACATGGCTGTGGTTCATCCTAGTGCTTAAAGCCATGATCAGAGTTGAAAAGTTGCTGTATCTTATTCAGATTTCTACTAGCAACATATTCAATAGTAAGCTTTGTTAGTCATCTATAACCCGGTGTAAGTGAAGTTATCAGGTCTTTTTCTGGGAGGAGGTTTAGAGGAGGAAAGGAGAGAGAATGAGTCCTAAAGGAGAGAAGAGGAGTAGAAGGGGCATGTCAAGTAGAAAAGGATGTAGAAAAGGTAGGCTTGGGGTAAAAAGATAATTTTCACCTGCTTGGGTGGTTTATTGAGGGCAGCCTTTTAGGCCTGCTTACCAAAGAGGCCAGTCTTGATGACGCTAGAAATTTGCAGATAATCCTTTTACCATATCAGTGTCAGGCAGCTTATCCACCTCCTCTTGGGCTCTATGACCAAACCCAAGAAGAGCACTGAGGCCCAGCTAAGTCTGGGAGTTCAGTGCACAGGCCCCCCCTTTCGCACAGAGAGTGGTGTCTATGTGTGACATCGTGTCTTAGGGGGGCTTTATGACAGGACAACCTCTTCAACCTTGGCCAGAACAGCTTGTCAAATGCCTCGGGGTGGCTTTAAATCCCCAGTAGTGAGAGACAGCCCCTTTGTACATATCTCATTGTTTCAATTCAGCACAAACAGTGCTGACTGAGCAGCTACAATGTGCCAAGCTCTGTGTGAAGACCCATAGAGACACAAAGATGCAAAAGTGTGTAAGACTCAGTATTTTTTTTTTGTCTTTAAGACTGAGTCTTGATCTGTTGCCCAGGCTGGAGTGCAGTGGCATGATCATGGCTCACTGCAACCTCCACCTCTCAGGTTCAAGAGATTCTCATGCCTCAGGCTACCGAGTGGCTGGGATTACAGGTGTGCATCACCATGCCCAGCTAATTTTTTTGTATTTTTAGTAAAGACAGGGTCTTGTCATGTTGGCCAGGCTGGTCTCAAACTCCTGGCGTCAAGTGATCCACCCGCCTCGGCCTCCCAAAGTATTGAGATTACAGGCGTAAGCCACTGCACCCAGCCAAGACTCAGTCTTACTGCATAACACAATAAGCATATTTTCTAAATCCAAAACAAGAACACAGCCTAACAATTGAATGTCATCTATTCATTCATTCAACCAGTGTCTGCTGAGCTTCCATTTTGGTCCAAGCATTATGCTGAGAGGATCAAAGGTAAACAGGACATACAGCCTACCCTTGAGGAGCTCAAAGACTTCAAACAGACATTTTATGGTTCAAGACAATAACTTCTACCTTCCTGCAAATTTCTGTAAATGTAACAATAATTACAAATCTATGGGTGGTTGAAACTGAGGGATGGATGCCTCAGTTTCACATACACATGAAACATTCACCAAGATAGGCCATATTCTGGACCACGAAACAAATCTCAATGGATTTTAAATTTATTTCAAGTATGTCCTTCAAACACTGTGGAATTAAAAATTACAAATCAGTAACAGATTCCCAGAAAGAGTCTGAGCTCAGACTCACCTAACCCTGCCCCAACCTGACAGTATTTCTCTACCCGCCCTGGTAGCTGATCACAAAAGCCATAAACTCTTGGGAGCTTTATGGCCCTGTCCATCACCTGAGAAATCCTAATACTTATCCTGGCCAACTTAGGGCAAGCTTATATCCCCCTTCCAGTATTGCAGCTGGTGTTCTCTTGAAAGCGCCACCTCCTGGCTGGAGGCCAACCAAGTCAGGACATTACAGCAACTCACAACAGAATAACCCTGCTCCAAGAAATGAGAAACAGCTAATTCCACTGCTTTCAACATCCTGGCTAACCAGAGCTCCTGAGTCTGTCCACGTGACAACTTCACTGCTAGCATAACCAGCATTTGAGAAAGCCAGCACAGTAAACAAAACTACAAGCAAGGACTCTCACACTCACAGTCTACTTTACTCCCCTCCCACCTCCACCAGGGCAGGTGCTGGTGTCCATGGCCAGGAGAGCTAAAGACGGATCACATCACAGGACTCTTTGCAGACATTCCTCAGCACCAGCCTGGAACCTGGTAGCCCCACTGGGTGGCTGGACCCAGAAGAGCAATAGCAATCACTACAGTCTGGCTCTCACGAAGCTCCATCCCTAGGGGAAGTGAGAATGCATCACATCAAGGGGTCACTTTGTGGGACAAAAGAATCTGAACAGTAGCCCCTGAGTTCCAGATTTTTCCCCTGAAATAGTCTACCCAAGTGAGAAGAAATCAGAAAAATTGTAATATGACAAAACAAGGTTCTATAACACCTCCAAAAGACCATACTGGCTCCCCAGCAATGAATGCAAATCAAGAAGAAATCTCTGAATTGCCAGATAAACAATTCAGATGGTTGATTATTAAACTACTCAAGGAGAGACCAGAGAAAAGTGAAAACAAAGAAATGTAAAAAACAATACAGGCTATGGATTGGCCAGGCGCAGTGGCTCACACCTGTAAACCCAGCACTTTGGAAGGCTGAGGCGGGCTGATCACTTGAGGTCAGGAGTTTCAGACCAGCCTGGCCAACACAGTGAAACCCCATCTCTACTAAAAATACAAAAATCAGCCAGGCATGGTGGTGCGTGCCTGTAATACCAGCTATTTGGGAGACTGAGGCAGGGGGATTGCGTGAACCCAGGAGCCAGAGGTTGCAGTGAGCTGAGATTGCACCACTGCACTGTGAGCAACAGAGTGCTCAGAGTCTCAAAAAGGAAAGAAAGAAAGAAAGAAAAAGACAACAAAAAAAATACAGGCTATGGATGAAAAATTCTCCAGAGAAACAGATATTATAAAGAAAAAAAAATCACAATTTCTGCAAATGGAAGACACACTTAAAGAAATAAAAAATGCACTGGAAAGTGTCAACAACAGACTAGAACAAGTATGTAGGATACAATAAAATTCCTCTTCAAAGGTTTAGCCTGTTAACTTCCTTGTTCTTTGTTCTCAAACTCAACTTTCTTGTTCTCTATGCCTCCTTGCCCCTAGTTACTGTAACTGTAAACAACCTTCCTGTCAGTTCTAATCAATAACTCACATCTGTTCCCTTGGTTACCCACTCTTCACCCCTTCCTCCCTTCGAAACCGCACGTCCCACCACTGTAACTCACATTTCCCTTCCCTTCCTTATTTGGGAAAGTATTCACAAATAGCCAGTCGGGTCAGTTTAGATTGTGCAGTCCAACCACAGCCCATGAAGGAGTGACACAGAGGGAGGGATTGCATTAGGAATAAAAACCCCTGCTTTCCTTTGTTCAGTGTGCTCTTGCAATCGTGATTGACACAAGCAGCACCCTTCTGCAGAAGTAAACTGCCTTGCTGAGAAAACTTTCGCCTCAGTGCTGGTTTCACTTTGCAGCACTGAGCATTTATCTCCAACAAATCTGGGGCTCATCCAGGATTCCCATTCTCCTCCAGGGAAGGGGTCTCTGGTCACCTCTCATAAGGAGACGCATCCCACTGCCTCGTTGCGGTGGCCTCAGGGTGAGGGATCGGAACCCACCCGGTGTGACGAATAAATCCGGACTCTCAGCAATGTGGGGAAAAAAAGGCTTGCAACACCATGGTGACCAGGTAACTTTGTGCACAGACCAAGGTAAGAAACGTCACAGGGGTGACAAAGCATTTCCTTGGTGGTCAAGATATTCTGGAGATTGAAAGTGTGTATGAATGATCACAAGCATTACTGCTTGCGGTGCTGCTTGTGTGAATGGTACTAAGCACTACTGCTGTGCGGAATGAGTGTGTCCTATCTGAGGTTCCATGGTCACCTCATATGGCTTAGGACAGATCCTGCCATGGGGTTTATATGGGCGTGCCAAAGGTAAGAGGGACCTAAATTCCCCTCCGGGAAGCGACCAGAGTGGACGAAGCAAAAGAAGGGTGCAAGGAGCCTCCAGCAGGTGGGGCTAAAGGATAGAAATCTCTAGTATGAGGAATTGAGCCTCAATAAGCCTCCAGAAAAGGAGAGGCAAGAAATCTCTAATACGAGGGATTGAGCCTCAGCAAGCCTCCAGAAAAGGATAGGCAAGAAATCTCTAATATGAGGGACTGAGCCTAACTAGGACCCAACATGGGAAACACCCCAAGCAGGACACGGAGTAAAAAGGATAAAGACAGCAATAAAGATATTCCTGCTGTTAGTCCCCTAGGTCTCATGTTAAAATATTGGAAAGATAATGAGAGAACTAAACATAAGAAAAAGCAACAAATGACAAACAATTGCTGTTTTATTTGGACTCAGGGACCCATCCTCAAACCCTCAATCTTTTGGTCAAAGTTTGGGTTGAACAAGGATGTGATGTGTCAACTTCTAATTCAATATGTAAATGATAAAAGTCCAGTTTCTCAAGAAGAATTGGCCTATGCTCTTTGTTGGAGGCAGGGACCTGTCCTCCTCTTTCCCTTAAAGACAACTAGGGAAAAACCCAATCTAGCACCTCAAACTGAAGAGTGAGAAAAGCCAGTCCCCATGCCTAAAGACTCCAGCACATGGGATCCTCTAAACCATCTTCCCCCACGCTCAGTGCCCCTAACCCTTCCCCTCAGGTAGCAGCTGCTGTCCCCGTTCCTGCTCCAGATCCTTCTCCTGCTCATGTTATTCCTCCTCCTTACAATCCTGATTCTTGGGAATCACCATCCCATTAGCCTGTTCCTTCTCAGCCTAAGTACCCCTCCCTAAAAGGACTCCAACGTGAGGTAGAACAATGTAAAAAAGATATCCAAAATTTCCCATTTCCCTCCACATCTATGGAGTCAGCCCCAACTCTCTTCCCCTTAAAAGAGGTGCCACAAGGACAGGGGGGCTATTAATTTTGTGAATGCTCCCTTAACCAGTTCAGAGGTCTGAAGTTTGAAGAAGGAACTTAAGCCGTTATTGGATGACCTTATTGGGTAACAGATCAGGTTGATCAATTCTTAGGACCTCAGTTATACACTTGGGTGGAGTTAATGTCCATCCTAGGCGTCCTCTTTTCTTTTTTTTTTTTTTTTTTTTTGAGACGGAGTCTCGCTCTGTCGCCCAGGCGGGACTGCGGACTGCAGTGGCGCAATCTCGGCTCACTGCAAGCTCCGCTTCCCGGGTTCACGCCATTCTCCTGCCTCAGCCTCCCGAGTAGCTGGGACTACAGGCGCCCGCCACTGCGCCCGGCTAATTTTTTTTGTATTTTTAGTAGAGACGGGGTTTCACCTTGTTAGCCAGGATGGTCTCGATCTCCTGACCTCATGATCCACCCGCCTCGGCCTCCCAAAGTGCTGGGATTACAGGCGTGAGCCACCGCGCCCGGCCTGCGTCCTCTTTTCAGGGGAGGAAAGAAGCATGATCTGTAGGGCTGCTATGGCAATTTGGGAACACGAACACCCTCCTGGTCAAACATTCCTACCGCAGATCAAAAGTTTCCCACCCAAGACCCCCGGTGGGACGATATTAATGCAGCTCACTGGGAAAATATGCAAGACCTAAGGGAAATGATAATAAAGGGAATTAGGGAATCAGTACCCTGAACCCAAAACCTCTCTAAAGCATTTGATATACAATAGGAAAAAGATGAGGGGGCCTATGAAATTTCTAGACAAGAATAAAGGACCAAACAAGACAATATGCAGGCCTAAATTTGGAAGATCTCCTTGGACAGGGAGTGTTAAAGCTCCATTTTGTCACTACAAGTTGGCCAGATATTTCAAAAAAGTTACAAAAATTAGAAGACTGGGAAAACCAACCTCTAAGTGAACTTCTGGGAGAAGCTCAAAAAATATATGTGAGGAAAGAAGCAAAAACAAAAGGCAAAAACTCACGTTATCCACTTTCCAGCAGGTGGCCCCACACCCACATGCTTCTAAACAAAGCTTCCAGGGGGCCAGAAACGATAGACGGTCCAGACCCTCATTTATGCTTCTAAACAAAGCTTCCAGGGGGCCAGAAACTATAAAAGGTCCAGACCCTCGTTTATGCTTCTAAACAAAGCTTCCAGGGGGCCAGAAACTATAAAAGGTCCAGACCCTCATTTATGCTTCTAAACAAAGCTTCCAGGGGGCCAGAAACTATAAAAGGTCCAGACCCTCGTTTATGCTTCTAAACAAAGCTTCCAGGGGGCCAGAAACTATAAAAGGTCCAGACCCTCGTTTATGCTTCTAAACAAAGCTTCCAGGGGGCCAGAAACTATAAAAGGTCCAGACCCTCGTTTATGCTTCTAAACAAAGCTTCCAGGGGGCCAGAAACTATAAACGGTCCGTCCAGACCGTTTGAAGGGCAGGCCACTTCAAAAGAGAATGTCCCAAACTGGAAAAGGAGAAAGAAGCCCTTCAACTCATGACTTTTGAGGAAGAACAGGGGGGTCAGGGGCTCTGTTTATCTCGAGTCCCACCAGGAGCCCTTGATAAATTTACAGGTGGGAACCAAACATGAGCTTATCACCTTTTAGTCAATTCAGGAGTGGCTCGCTCCTCCATTTGCTTCCCCCCATCCAACATTGCCTGCTCTTCAGAAGAACTTTTAGTCTCTGGGGTAAAAGGAGAAGGATTTAAAGCAAAAATCTTAGAAAGTACAGAAGTTAAATACCAAGATCGGCTGACTCATATCCAATTTTTGTTGATCCCTGAGGCAGAAACTAATCTATTAGGAAGAGACTTAATGCTAGAATTAGGCACAGGCTTACAAGTTGGTCCTAAAGGATTCTTTACCTCATTAAACCTACTCACCACCACAGATGAAAAATGCATTAATCCTAGTGTCTGGTCAAGGGAAGGAAACCGGGAGAAACTCTGAATCCCTCCAATCCACATCAAGTTAAGAATCCCCAGGGAAGTAGTAAGGAGGAAACAATACCCCAAACCCCTAGAGGGCAGGATAGGATTAAAGCCTATAATTGAAAGTCTTATTAAAGATGGGCTCCTTGAACCCTGTATGTCCCCGTATAACACTCCAATATTGCCAGTCAAGAAATTAGATGCGTCATACCGACTTGGTACAAGATCTTAGAGCCATCAAATAGTCCAAACTAACCATCCTGTTGTCCCCAACCCATACACCATTCTCAGCAAAATTCCAAAAAACCATCAGTTGTTTACAGTAATAGATTTAAAAGATGCCTTCTGGGCATGCCCCTTGGCTGAAGACAGCTGAGACATATTTGCTTTTGAGTGGTAGGATCCCCATTCAGGGCGAAAACAACATTATTGATGGACAGTTTTACCTCAAGGGTTTACAGACTCTCCAAACCTTTTTGGTCAAATTTTAGAACAAGTGTTAGAAAAAGTTGTCATCCCAAAGCAAATATGCCTGCTCCAGTACATGGATGATATTCTCGTATCTGTTGAAGATGTAGAGAAAGTAGCTGGCTTCTCTACACATATCCTTAACCATCTGGAGTTCGAGGGGTTATGGTTCTTAAAGGGAAAGCTTCAGTATGTGGAGCCTGAAGTTAAATATTTAGGCCACTTAATAAGTGCAGGTAAGCAAAGGATAGGACCTGAACGAGTTGAAGGCATCGTGTCCTTACCCTTGCCTCAAACTAAGCAATAACTCAGAAAATTTCTAGGATTAGTTGGATATTGATGCTTATGGATTGACTCATATGCCCTAAAAAGTAAACTTTTATATGAAAAGCTTACCCAGTGGAAACTGGACCGTCTCCTGTGGACTTCTGAGGAAGTCAATCAGGTTGAAGAGCTGAAATACAAACTCATAACTGCCCCTGTCTTAGCCTTAGCTTCCCTAGAAAAGCCATTTCATCTTTTTGTTAATGTAAATAACGGGGTAGCTTTAGGGGTTCTTACTCAAGAACATGGTGGTCACCGGCAGCCCGTAGCCTTCCTATCAAAAATTTTAGACCCAGTCACCTGTGGGTAGCCTCAGTGCATCCAATTCGTTGCAGCTACAGCAGTATTAGTTGAAGAAAGTAGAAAATTAATCTTTGGGGGGAAATTGACTGTAAGCACACCCCACCAAGTTAGAGCTATTTTAAATAAAAAAGCAGGAAGGTGGCTCACTGACTCCAGAATCTTAAAATAGGAGGCTATTTTACTAAAAAGATGATTTAACCTTGACTACTGATAACTCACTCAATCCGAGAGGTTTCTTAACAGGGGACCCAAATCTAAAAAGAGAACACTTATGTCTAGATCTAACTGACTACCAAACAAAGGTCAGGCCGGATCTAAGAGAGACCCCTTTCAAAATGGGGTGACACTTATTTATAGATGGTTGATCCCAAGCAATTAAAGGAGAAAAATACAATGGGTATTCAGTAATTGATGGAGAAACTCTTGAAGAAACAGAGTCAGGAAGGTTGCCCAATAGTTGGTCTGCCAAAGCATGTGAACTATTTGCACTCAGCCAGGTTTTAAAACACTTACAGAGCAAGGAAGGAACTATTCATACTGATTCTAAATACATTTTTGGAGTAGCTCATATATTTGGAAAAATTTGGGCTGAGCAAGGTCTTATTAATACTAAAGGCCAGGCCAGGCGCGGTGGCTCATGCCTGTAATCCCAGCACTTTGGGAGGCTGAGGTGGGCGGATCACGAGGTCAGGAGATCAAGACCATCCTGGCTAACATGGTGAAACCCCGTCTCTACTAAAAATACAAAAAAATTAGCCAGGTGTGGTAGCGGGATCCTGTAGTCCCAGCTACTCAGGAGGCTGAGGCAGGAGAATGGCGTGAACCCGGGAGGTGGAACTTGCAATGAGCTGAGATCGTGCCACTGCACTCCAGCCTGGGTGACAGAGCAAGACTCCGTCTCAAAAAAACACCAAAAAACAAAAAAAAACTAAAGGCCAAAATATCTTACCCACGAGGAGCTAATCGTCCATGTTTTAAACAATCTCCAGTTGCCAGAAGAAATAGCCATTGTACATGTCCCCGGACACCAAAACGACTTTTCCTTTACAAGTCAGGGAAATAACCTTGCAGATCAAGTGGCTAAACAGGCTGCCATTTCATCTGAAACACCTTTCACTTAACCCCTCGTCTTCCTCCCCCTGCTGCAACCCCTACCTTGTCTGCTGCAGAAAAGGAAAAATTAATAAAAATGGAGCCAAAGAAAACTCAGAAGGAAAATGGGTGTTACCAGATCAAAGAGAAATGCTATTCAAACCGCTCATGAGAGAAATCCTACCCACCTGCATCAAGGGACACACTGGGGACCCCAAGCCATGTGTGACACAGTTCTCAGGGTTTATGGGTATATACCCTAGCCAAACAGGTTATGGATAGTTGCTTAACATGTAAGGAAACCAACAAACAAGTTATAAAGAAATCATCCCTGGGCGGGGAGGGATTCAGGGCTAAGACCATTCCAAAGTGTTCAAACTGATTACATTGAAATGCCCCCAATCGGTTGCCTAAAGTACTTAGTAATAGCAGATCACCTCACTCACTGGGTCGAAGCTATTCCCTTTTCAAATGCAATGGCCAATCATGTAGTTAAAGCATTAATTGAAAATATAGTGCCCAGGTTTGGGCTAATAGAAAATATTGACTCAGACAGTGAAACCTATTTCATAGCACATATCATTAAAAAGCTATCCTAAGCGCTAGACATTAGATGGAAATATCATACTCCTTGGCACCCACCTTCATCAGGGAGAGTAGAAAGGATGAATCAGACCTTAAAGAACCATTTAACCAAGTTAGTTCTATAGATTCGGTTGCCAGGGATCAAATATCTTCCTATTGCCCTGTTAAGAATCCAAACGGCGGTTCCACCGCTGTCGCCGCCGTAGTGCGGCATGCCGCTCGGCGGAGGGGCCGGGCCTGCGTTCTCTCCTCCTTCCTCCCCGCCTCTGGCTGCCGGCAGGACCTTTCTCTCGCTGCTACTGGGACCCCGTGTCATAGCCCAGGCTGAGCACGATGCCCCCTCAAAAGGGAGGTGATGGAATTAAACCACCCCCAATCATTGGAAGATTTGGAACCTCACTGAAAATTGGTATTGTTGGATTGCCAAATGTTGGGAAATCTACTTTCTTCAATGTATTAACCAATAGTCAGGCTTCAGCAGAAAACTTCCCATTCTGCACTATTGATCCTAATGAGAGCAGAGTACCTGTGCCAGATGAAAGGTTTGACTTTCTTTGCCAATATCACAAACCAGCAAGCAAAATTCCTGCCTTTCTAAATGTAGTGGATATTGCTGGCCTTGTGAAAGGAGCTCACAATGGGCAGGGCCTGGGGAATGCTTTTTTATCTCATTTTAGTGCTTGTGATGGCATCTTTCATCTAACACGTGCTTTTGAAGATGATGATATCACACATGTTGAAGAAAGTGTAGATCCTATTCGAGATATAGAAATAATACATGAAGAGCTTCAGCTTAAAGATGAGGAATGACTGGGCCCATTATAGATAAACTAGAAAAGGTGGCTGTGAGAGGAGGAGATAAAAAACTAAAACCCAAATATGATATAATGTGCAAAGTAAAATCCTGGGTTATAGATCAAAAGAACCTGTTCGCTTCTATCATGATTGGAATGACAAAGAGATTGAAGTGTTGAATAAACACTTATTTTTGACTTCAAAACCAATGGTCTACTTGGTTAATCTTTCTGAAAAAGACTACATTAGAAAGAAAAACAAATGGCTGATAAAAATTAAAGAGTGGGTGGACAAGTATGACCCAGGTGCCTTGGTCATTCCTTTTAGTGGGGCCTTGGAACTCAAGTTGCAAGAATTGAGTGCTGAGGAGAGACAGCAGTATCTGGAAGCGAACATGACACAAAGTGCTTTGCCAAAGATCATTAAGGCTGGGTTTGCAGCACTCCAACTAAAATACTTTTTCACTGCAGGCCCAGATGAAGTGCGTGCACGGACCATCAGGAAAGGGACTAAGGCTCCTCAGGCTGCAGGAAAGATTCACACAGATTTTGAAAAGGGATTCATTATGGCTGAAGTAATGAAATATGAAGATTTTAAAGAGGAAGGTTCTGAAAATGCAGTCAAGGCTGCTGGAAAGTACAGACAACAAGGCAGAAATTATATTGTTGAAGATGGAGATATTATCTTCTTCAAATTTAACACACCTTAACAACTGAAGAAGAAATAAAATTTAGTTACTGCTCAGATAAACATACAACTTCCAAAAGGCATCTGATTTTTTAAAAATTAAAATTTCTGAAAACCAATGGGACAAATAAAGTTGGGGAGATGGGAATCTTTGACAAACAAATTATTTTTGTTTTAAAATTAAAATACTGTGTACCCTCTCCCCCCAATGAAATGCAAGTTCACTAAATGTGAACACCTTTGCTTTTCATGTGATTAAGACCCTACTCCAAATTATAGAAGCTTTTCAAGAACCATGTTACTCTCATGATACTTCATTAATCTCCATCATGTATGCCAAGCCTAACACATTTGACAGTGAGAACAATGTGGCTTGCTCCTTTTTGAATCTACAGATAATGCATGTTTTATAGTACTCCAGATGTCTACACTCAATAAAACATTTGACAAAACCAAATAAAAAAAAAAGAATCCAAACTGCTCCTCGAAAAGATACTGGCCTTTCCCCTTACAAGATGCTCTATGGATTGCCTTATTTACACTCCACTGCTGATGTTCCAAAAACACCAGTTCCTCAGGAATTATATTCTTAGTCTCTCCCCTACTTTCTCTTTTCTTAAAACCAAAGGTCTCCTAGCACAGGCTCTGCCTCTGGAGTTCCCAGTACATCAACATCAGCCTGGGGATCACGTCCTTATCAAGAGCTGAAAAGAGGAGAAACTTGAGCCAGCCTGGGAAGGACCTTACCTGGTGCTTCTAACCACTGAAACTGCAGTCCGGACAGCAGAAAAAGGATAGACCCATCACACCTGAGTCAAGAAAGCACTGTCACCTCCAGAGTCATGGGCCATTATCCCAGGGGAAAACCCCCTCAAACTAAAGCTAAGAAAAGTTTAACTCTCTTTCGTCTACTCTATTACTCTTTCTTCTTTCCTCATTCTGTTGCTGACCACCTTGTTATCAATGTGACTAAATCAAACTCACCCCAAGTTATTATGTTTGATGCCTGTTTAGTCATACCCTGTAGAGATCTCCAAAGTCAAAGGCAACTCTCAGCCTTAGAAAAGTATCTCTGCCACTTTAAAATAAAAGGCTCCCGCTACCAAGACTCTTGCTCCTCATAAAATATAGGGAAACAGGTCTGCCATAGCTGGAATGATGTTCTGTGGACAACTGAGTATCAAGGCTGGACCTCATCAACATGTGGCTGTATATACTTAAAATCATACATTCACTTTACTAAAGGAAGCACCCCTCCCCTCGATTTTCAGTATAACCAGTGTAATCCAGTGCAGATTTCTACTCTCACTCCGGCCTCTACCGACCCTCTAGACCTACTTTGAGTCGCTTCTATGGCATAGGGACCAACGCGGCACAGACCTCATAGGGTCTTTTGAAATGCGTTTTATTAATCCCTCATCCTCTTCACCCTCTTCCCTCTCTTCTCCTTCTAAGCCTTCTTCTAATCAGACTGCCATACCTTCTATACCCAATGATAAGACTAAAGTAGATATTGTAGAAGTAAATGATCTAAGGCAAACTTTAGCAATTGAAACAAAATATCAAGATGCAAATGCCTGGTTGGAATGGACCAAATATTCTGTCCGCACATGAAACAAAAGCAATTGTTATGCTTGTGCTCACGGCCAGCCAGAGACCCAGATAGACCCCTTTACACTCGGCTGGTCCCCCAGTCAACCAGGCATGGGCAGCATGGTAGCTCTCTTCCAGGATTCCATAGCTTGGGGCAATCAATCATGCCAAGCTCTCTCTTTGCTCTATCCCAAAGTTCAATATCCTGCGGGTCAGCCCCAGAGGGCCATCCAGCTTCTGGCTCCCAATGTCAATTTCACGTCCTGTCTCTCACGACAAGGGGAAAACTTGGTGTTCCTTGGAAGCTTAACAGGATGCAGTGAGCTTAAGCCTTTCCAAGAGCTTACCCATCAGTCTGCCCTTAGTCATCCTCAAGAAGATGTATGGTGGTATTGTGGCGGACCCTTACTGGACACTCTGCCAAGTAACTGGAGTGGTACCTGCACTCTTGTCCATTTGGCTATCCCTTTCACCCTGGCGTTTCATCAGCCAGAAAAAGAAAAGCCACAACACCATAAAATAAGAGAAGCCCCTTATAGGTTTTTTGACTCTCAAGTTTATTTAGATGCAACTGGAGTCCCATGGGGAGTACCTGATAAATTAAAAGCCCGGGACCAAATAGTCTGCAGGATTTGAATCAATATTTCCATGGGTAACTATTAATAAAAATGTAGACTGTATAAATTACATCTATTATAACCAACAGCAGTTTATTAATTATACCAGGGATGCTGTCAAAGGAATAGCTGAGGAGTTAGGGCTGACTAGCCAGATGGCTTAGGAAAACAGAATGGCCCTAGGCATGATACTAGCTGAAAAAGGTAGAGTTTGTGTTATGATTAAAACTCAGTGTCGTACCTTCATCCCAAACCATACTGCCCCAGATGGGAGCATAACAAAAGCCTTACAAGGACTTACCATTTTATCTAATGAATTAGCTAAAAATTCTGGAGTCAATAACCCTTCTTCAGGATGGCTAGACAGGTGGTTTGGTAAATAGAAAGGAATCATAGCCTCAATTCTTACTTCTCTTGCAGTCATAATAGGTGTACTCATTCTTGTTGGGTGTTGTGTCACACCATGCAACCATGGGCTAGTACAAAGGCTTATAGAAACAGCACTTACTAAAATCTCCCTTAGCTCTCCTCCACCTTATTCAGATAAGCGTTTCCTTTCAGACGATCAAGTCAAACAGCAAAGCCAAGACATCTTAAAAAGGTTTGAAGAGGAAGAACTATAAAAATTAAAAGGGGGAAATTGTAGGATACAATAAAATTCTTCAAAGGTTTAGCCTGTTAACTTCCTTGTTCTTTGTTCTCAAACTCAACTTTCTTGTTCTCTATGCCTCCTTGCCCCTAGTTACTGTAACTGTAAACAACTTTCCTGTCAGTCCTAATCAATAACTCACATCTGTTCCCTTGGTTACCCACTCTTCACCCGTTCCTCCCTTTGAAACCGCACATCCCACCATTGTAACTCACATTTCCCTTCCCTTCCTTATTTGGGAAAGTATTCACAAATAGCCAATTGGGTCAGTTTAGATTGTGCGGTCCAACCACAGCCCATGGAGGAATGACAAAGAGGCAGGGACTGCATTAGGAATAAAAACCCCTGCTTTCCTTTGTTCAGTGTGCTCTTGCAATCGTGATTGACACAAGCAGCACCCTTCTGCAGAAGTAAATTGCCTTGCTGAGAAAATTTTTGCCTGAGTGCTGGTTTCGCTTTGTGGCACTGAACATTTATCTCCAACAAGTAGAAGAAAGAACTTCAGAGCTTGAAGACAAAGCATTTGAAGTAACTCAACCAGACAAAGACAAATAAAAAAGAATTTTTTTTTTTTGAGACAGTCTCGCTCTGTTGCCCAGGCTGGATGGAGTGCAGTGGCGTGATCTCGGCTCACTGCAAGCTCTGTCTCCTGGGTTCATAGCATTCTCCTACCTCAGCCTCCTGAGTAGCTGGGACTACAGGCGACCGCCACCACACCTGGCTTATTTTTTGTATTTTTAGTAGAGATGGGGTTTCACCGTGTTAGCCAGGATGGTCTCGATCTCCTGACCTTGTGATCTGCCTGCCTCGGCCTCCCAAAGTGCTGGGATTACAGGCGTGAGCCACTGCGCCCGGCGAATATGAATTTTTAAAAATGAACAAAGCTTCCAAGAAATTTGGGATTACGTTAAACAGCCAGACCTAAGAATAATTGGTGTTCCTCAGGAAGAAGAGAAATCTAAACATTTAGAAAGCTTATTGGAGGGAATAATCAAGGAAAAGTTCCTTGCTCTCACCAGAGATCTAAACATCTAAATACAAGAAGCTGAAAGAACACCTGAAAAATTCATTGCAAAAAGATAATTACCTAGGCACACAGTCATCAGGTTATCTAAAGTCAAGATGAAGGGAAACATCTTAAGAGCCATGAGGCAAAAGCATCAGGGAACCTACAATGGAAATCCTATCAGATTAACAGCAGATTTCTCAGCAGAAACCCTATAAGCCAGAAGGGATTGGGGTCCTATCTTTAGCCTCCTCAAACAAAATAATTGCCAGCCAAGAATTTTGTATCCAGCAAAACTATGCTTCATAAATGAGGAGAGATAAAGTCTTTTTCAGACAAACAAATGCTGAGAGAATTTGCCACTAGCAAGCCAGCACTACAAGAAATGTCAAAAGGAGTTCTAAATCTTGAAACAAAAATAGAACCTCCTTTAAGTATATGTTTTAAAAGGCTTATAAAACAATAACACAATTTAAAAAAGCACAACTATCACTATGAATAAAACACTATCTCATAATTCAATACCAACATTGAATGTAAATGGCCTGAATGCTCCACTTAAAAGACACAGAATGGATAAAATTCACCAACCAACCATCTGCTGTCTTCAAGAGACTCATCTAATGCATAGGGACTCACATAAACTTAAGGTAAAGGGGTAGAAAAAGATACTGCACGCAAATGGAAACCAAAAGCAAGTACGAGTAGCTATTCTTTTTTTTTTTTCTTTGAGATGGAGTCTCGCTCTGTTGCCCAGGCTGGAGTGCAGTGGCACGATCTCGGCTCACTGCAACCTCTGCCTCCTGGGTTCAAACAATTCTCCTGCCTCAGCCTCCCAAGTAGTTGGGACTACAGGCATGCGCCACCATGCCCAGCTAAATTTTTTGTATTTTTAGTAGAGACAGGGTTTCACCATGTTAGCCAGGATGGTCTCAATCTCCTGACCTCATGATCTGCCTGCCTTGGCCTCCCAAAGTGCTAGGATAATAGATGTGAGCTGGCCAAGAGTAGCTATGTTTTTTTGTTTTTGTTTTTTTTTCTGAGACTAAGTCTTGCTCTGTCACCAGGCTGGAATGCAGTGGCGCTAACTTGGCTCACTGCAACCTCTGCCTCCTGAGTTCAAGCAATTCTCCTGCCTCAGCCTCCCGAGTAGCTGGGACTACAGGGGCATGCCACCACACCAAGCTAATTTTTGTATTTTTAGTAGAGATGGGGTTTCACAATGGTGGCAAAGATGATCTCAATCTCCTGACCTCGTGATCCACCTGTCTCAGCCTCCCAAAGTGCTGGGATTACAGGCATGAGCCATCATGCCTTGCCGAGTAGCTATTCCTATATCACACAAACAGACTTTAAAGCAACAACGGTTAAAAAAAAGACAAAAAGGGGCCAGGCGTGGTAGCTCACACCTGTAAACCCAGCACTTCGGGAGGCCAAGGCGGGTGGATCATGAGGTCAGGAGATCGAGACCATCCTGGCTAACATGGTGAAACCCCGTCTCTACTAAAAAAATACAAAAAAATGAGCTGGGCATGGTGGTGGGTGCCTGTAGTCCCAGCTACTCTGGAGGCTGAGGCAGGAGAATGGTGTGAAGCCGGGAGGTGGAGCTTGCAGTGAACCGAGATTGCGCCACTGCACTCCAGCCTGGGCAACAGAGTGAGACTCTGTCTCAAAAAAAAAAAAAAAAAAAAAAAAAGACAAAAAGGGACATTACATAACGATAAAAGATCAGTCCAGCCGGGCGCAGTGGCTCACACCTGGAATCCCAGCACTTTGGGAGGCTGAGACGGGCGGATTACGAGGTCAGGAGATCAAGACCATCCTGGCTAACATGGTGAAACCCCGTCTCTACTAAAAATACAAAAAAATTAGCCGGGTGTGGTGGTGGGCACCTGTAGTCCCAGCTACTCGGGAGGCTGAGGCAGGAGAATGGCATCAATCCAGGAGGCGGAGCTTGCAGTGAGATGAGAGCTGAGATCACGCCACTGCACTCCAGGCTGGGCAGACAGAGCGAGACTCTGTCTCAAAAAAAAAAAAAAAATCAGTCCAACAGGAAAATATCACAATCCTAAATACATATGCACCTTAATGGGCCAGGCACAGTGGCTCACACCTGTAATCCCAGCACTTTGGGAGGCTGAGGCAGGCGGATCACTTGAGTTCAGGAGTTCGAGTCCAGCCTGACCAACACGATGAAACCCCATCTCTACTAAAAATACAAAATTTAGCTGGGCATGGTGGCAAGCACCTGTACTGCCAGCTACTCGGGAGGCTCAGGCAGGGAAATCACTTGAACCCAGGAGGCAGAGGTTGCAGTGAGCCAAGATCACGCCACTGCACTCTAGCCTGGGCAACAGACCAAGACTCCATCTCAAAAACAAACAAACAACAAAAAAAAAACAGGTAAAGATGATACAGATTAACATCCTCATAAACACAGATGCAAATATTAACAAAATCTTATCACATTGAAAATAATATGTAAATATATACAACATTATCTATAGCATTTACTCCCAGGAATGCAAGGTTGGTTCAACATTCAAAAACCAATAAATGAAATTAACCATATTAACAGACAGAAAAAGAAAAATTCCATGATTATATCAATAGATGCATAAAATATATTTCACAAAATCAACATCTGAACCTCAAAGAAAAGAAAATTCCCAGCAAACGAGGAATTCATGGAAACATTTTCAATCCGATGAGGGGTATCTACGAAAAACCTACAGCTAGCAACATACTCAATGGTAAAATACTAAATGCTTTGTTCCTAAGTTCAGAAATGTCTTTATTTATTTATTTATTTATTTATTTATTTATTTTGAGACAGACTTTCACTCTTGTCACCCAGGCTGTAGTGTAAGGGCACAATCTTGGCTCACTGCAACCTCCGCCTCCCAGGTTTAAGTGATTCTCCTACCTCAGCCACCTGAATAGCTAGGATTACAGGTGCCTGCCGCCACGCCCAGCTAATTTTTGTATTTCTAGTAGAAACGGGGTTTCACCATGTTGGCCAGGCTGGTCTCAAATTCCTGATCTCAGGTGATCCACCCACCTTGGCCTCCCAAAGTATTGGCATTACAGACATGAGCCACCACAGCTGGCCAGGAATGTCTTAATTTAAGGCAAAAAAAGTCTGCCCTCATTGCTTTTTTTTTTGAGGCAGAGTCTCGTTCTGTCACCTAGGCTGGAGTGCAATGGCATGATCTCAGCTCACTGCAACCTCTGCCTCTCAGGTTCAAGCGATTCTCCTGCCTCAGCCTCCCAAGTAGCTGGAATTATAGGTGTGCACCATCACGCCAAGCTAAATTTTGTATTTTTAGTAGAGATGGGGTTTCACCATGTTGGCCAGGCTGGTCTCGAACTCCTGACCTCAGGTGATCCGCCTGCCTCGGCCTCCCAAAGTGCTGGGATTACATGCATGAGCCACCGCACCCGGTCTACCCTCATCACTTCTGTATGATATTGTGCTAGAAGCTCTAGCCAGTGAACAAGTCAAAAAAGAGAAGTAAAAGGCAATCAGATTGGAAAGAAAGAAATAAAACTGTATTTTCAAATAACATGATTGTGTGTAAAATCCTGTGGGATCATCCAAAAAGCAACTACAGCTTAACAAGGCTGAAGGATGCAAGATCACTGTATTAAAATCAATTATATTGCTATATAATAGGAATAAACAATTGGGAATTAAAACTTCTTAAAAACCAGTTATAACAGCATCCAAAATATAAAATACATAGACAAAAAATATAACAAAAGCTACATGCAAAATCATACACTAATAACTACAAAACATTGCTGAGAGAAATTAAAGACGATGTAAATCAATGAAGAGCCATACCATGGTCATGAATCAGAAGACTCAACATTTTAAAGATGTCAGTTCCTCTCAAATTAATCTATAGATTCAGTGTAATCAATAAAAATTCCAGCAATTTTCTTGTTGAAATTGATTGCTTTTTCTAAAATTCATAGAGGAATGCAACTCAGGCCGGGCAAAGTGGCTCATGCCTGTAATCCCAGCACTTTGAGAGGCCAAGTCAGGTTGGTTGCTTGAGTCCAGGAGTTCGAGACAAGCCTGGGCAACGTGGTTAAACCCTGTCTCTACAAAAAGTACAAAAATTAGCTGGGTGTGGTGGTGCATGCCTGTAATTCCAGCTACCCGGGAGCCTGAGGCAGGAGAATCTTTTGAACCTGGGAGGCAGAGGTTGCAGTGCACCGAGATCGTGCCACTGCACTTCAGCCTGGGCGACAGAGTGAGACTCCATCTCAAAAAAAAAAAATACAGTTATGAACATGTTGAAAAAATAAAAAAGAGTCTCAGCATAGAAATAGGAGATATAAGGAAGAATCAGATAGAAATTTTAGAAATAGAAAATACAACAACGAAATAAAAAGCTCAGTGAATGGGCTCAAAAGTGGAAAAGAGGACAACACAAGCAGTTAACTGGAAGACAGGACAACAGAAATTACTCAATCTGAACAACAGAGAGAAAATGGACTGGAAAAAGTAAACAAGAAAGAAAAGAGAAAATAAAAGAGGCCGGTACAGTGGCTCATGCCTGTAACCCCAGCACTTTGGGAGGCTGAGGTGGGTGGATCATGAGGTCAGGAGATCGAGACCATCCCTGGCTAACACGGTGAAACCCCGTCTCTGCTAAAAATACAAAAACGAAATTAGCCGAGCATGGTGGTGGGCACCTGTAGTCCCAGCTACTCGGGAGGCTGAGGCGGGAGAATGGTGTGAACCCGGGAGGCAGAGCCAAGATCGCGCCACTGTACTCCAGCCTGGGCGACAGAGCGAGACTCCATCTCAACCAAAAAAAAAAAAAAAAAAAAAAAAAAAAAGAAGAAAAGAAAAGAAACAAATAATAAACACAACCTCAGGGCCTGTGAGACTGTTAATAAAAGATCAGAGTGGGGCATGATAGCTCATCCCTGTAATCCCAGCATTTTGGTAGACAGAGGCAGAAGGATTGCTTGAGCCCAGGAGTTTGGGGCCAGCCTGGACAACATAGGAGGGGGCCGGGCGTGGTGGCTCTCGCCTGTAATCCCAGCACTTTGGGAGGCCAAGGCAGGCGGATCATGAGGTCAAGAGATTGAGACCATCCTGGCCAACTTGGTAAAACCCCGTCTCTACCAAAAATTCAAAAATTAGCCAGGCATGGTGGCAGGCACCTGTAATCCCAGCTACTCAGGAGGTTGAGGCACGAGAATCACTGGAATCTGGGAGGCAGACATTGCAGTGAGCCAAGATCATGCCACTGCACTCCAGCCTGGTGAAAGAGCGAGACTCCGCCTCAAAAACAAAAAAATTGAGTGTGGTGGTGCACACCTGTGGTCCCAGCTACTCTGGGGACTGAAGTGGGAGGAACGCTTCGGCCTGGAAGGTCTAGGTTGCAGTGAGCCATGATTCTGCCACTGTACTCCAGCCTGGATAACAGAGCAAGACCCTGTCTCAAAAAAATACATTAATAAATAAATAATCAAATGAACAAATATTCAAAGAAAACTTTCCTACTTGGCAAAATGCATAAAACAATAGATTCAAGAAGCTGAGAGAATTCCAATTGGGATAAACCCAAAGAAGTTCACACCAAGATACATTATAGTCAAACTTCTGAAAACAAAACAAAAAAATTTTTTGAAAGCAGCCAGAGAAAAACAATATGTTACTTATATAGAAAAAATAATTTGAATGACAGCTTATTTCTCATCAGAGACAACAGAAACCAGAAAGAAGTGACACAACACTTTTCCATTGTTAAAAAAACTATCAACTCAGAATCCCATATCCAATGAAAATATCCTTCAAGAATGCTGGGGGAAATTGTAAAATTCTCAAAGGAAGGAAAACTAAAAGAATTTGTCACCAACTAATATGTGCCCAGTTGGTTTTTTACAAAGGTGCTGATGCAATTCAATGGAGGAAAAATGGCTTTTCAACAAATGGTTCTGGAGTAATCAGATATTCATAGGCAAGAAAATGAACCTTGAAATAAATCTTACATTATATACAAAAATTACAACAAGGTGCAGTGGCTCATGCCTATAATTCCAGCATGGCAGGTAGATCACTTGAAGTCAGGAGTTCAAGACCAGCCTGGCCAACGTGGTGAAACCCTGTCTCTACTAAAAATACAAAAATTAGCTGGGCGTGATGGTGCGCATCTATAATTCCAGCTACTTTGGAGGATGAGACACCAGAATCGCTTGAACCTGGGAGGCAGAGGTTGCAGTAAGCCAAGATCATGCCACTGCACTCCAGCCTGGGTGAGGGAATAAGACTGTCTCAAAGAAAAACAAAAACCAAAAAACAAAAACCAAACCAAACCATGGACTTAAATGTACATCATCAAACATTTAGGAGAAAATCTTCTGGACCTAGAGCTACACAAGGCATTTTTAGTCTTGACACTAAAAGCACAATCCATAACAGGAAAAATAATAAAATAGATTTCATCAAAATTAAGCACTTTTACTCTGTGAAAGACCCTGTTCAGAGGATGAAAAGGCATAGAGTGGGAGAAAATATTTGCAAACTACGTATCTGATAAAGGACTAGTATCTAGAATATATAAAGAACTCCCAAAACTCAAAAATAAATAATCTAAATAAAAATGTGCAAAAGACATGAAAAAGCACTTCAGTAAAGAGAATATACACATTGGAAATAAACTTGGGAAAGGATGTTCAATATCACTAGCCATTAAGGAAATGCAAACTAAAACTACAATGGGCTATCCCTGTACACTTATTCCAAATGGCTAAATGTAAACAGTTGCTACACCAAATGTAGAAGAGGATGTGGAGAAACTAGATCACTCATGAATTGCCAATGAGAATGTAAAATGATTCAGTTATTCTGGAAAACAATTTGGTAGTTTTTTTTTTTTTTCCCTGAGACGGAGTCTTGCTCTGTCACCCAGGCTGGAGTGCAGTGGTGTGATCTCGGCTCACTGCAACCTCTGCCTCCTGGGCATGGTGGCGTACGCCTATAATCCCAGCTACTTGGAAGGCTGAGGCAGGAGAATCGCTTGAACCCGGGAGGCGGAGGTTACAGTGAGCTGAGATCGTGCCATCGCACTCCAGCCTGGGTGACAGAGTGAGACTCCATATCAAAAAAAATAAAAATAAAAAAAGAGAGAGAGGAAAAAGAGGTTTAATTGATTCAGTTCTGCAGGCTGTGCAAGCATGGCTCCAGCATCTGCTCCTGGTGAGGGCCTCAGGAAGCTTCAAATCCCAGCAGAAGGAAAAGGGAGAGCAGGGATGTCACATGGTGACAGCAGGAACAAGAGAGCAAAGCGGGAGATGCCACACACCTTTAACAACCAGATTACAGATGAACTCACTCATCACCAAGGGGATGGTGCTAAGCCGTTCATGAGGGATCTGCCTCCATGATCCATTCACCTTCCACCAGGCTTCAACTCCAACACTGGGGATGACATTTTGACGAGATTTGGAAGGGACAAATATCCAAACCGTATCACCATATTTTGTGTTTTGTTTAGGTTTGTTTTTTTGTCACCCAGGCTGGAGTACAGTGGTAGGATCATAGTTTATGGTAGCCTCGAACTCCTGGCTTCAAGCAATCCTCCTACCTCAGCCCCTCGAGTAGCTGGGACTATAGACACGTACCACCATGCTTGGCTATTTTAAACAAATTTTTGTAGAGATGCTATCGGGCAAAATTCACCCCTGATATTTCACGTAGGTTCTTTTCTATTTTCCCTAAGTGTCGGCCGGTCTGAGAAATAAAGGGACAGAGTACAAAAGAGATAAATTTTAAAGCTGGGTGTCCGGGGGAGACGTCACATGTCAGCAGGTTCCGTGATGCCCCCTGAGCCATAAAACCAGCAAGTTTTTATTATCGATTTCAAAAGGGAAGAGAGTGTACGAATAGGGTGTGGGTCACAGAGATCACATGCTTCACAAGGTAATAAGATATCACAAGGTAAATGAAGGCAGGGCGAGTTCACAGGACCACAGGACCGGGGCGAAATTAAAATTGCTAATGAAGTTTTGGGCATGCATTGTCACTGATAACATCTTATCAGGAGACAGGGTTTGAGAGCAGACAACCGGTCTGACCAAAATTTATTAGGTGGGAATTTCCTCATCCTAATAAGCCTGGGAGCGCTACAGGAGACTGGGGCTTATTTCATCCCTACAGCTGTGACTGTAAAATACAGCCACCCCCCAAGTGGCCATTTCAGAGGCCTACCCTCAGGGACGCATTCTCTTTCTCAGGGGCGTTCCTTGCTGAGAAAAAGAATTCAGCGATATTTCTCCCATTTGCTTTTGAAAGAAGAGAAATATGGCTCTGTTCCGCCCGGCTCACTGGCAGTCAAGAGTTTAAGGTTATCTCTCTTGTTCCCTGAACGTTGCTGTTATCCTGTTCTTTTTTCAAGGTGCCCAGATTTCATATTATTCAAACACACATGCTCTACAAACAATTTGTGCAGTTAATGCAATCATC
Organism: Homo sapiens; assembly: GCF_000001405.40. Taxonomy (NCBI): domain Eukaryota; kingdom Metazoa; phylum Chordata; class Mammalia; order Primates; family Hominidae; genus Homo; species Homo sapiens. Next base: position 17,796 of record NT_187682.1, on the reverse strand, counting down.
ACAGGGTCCTGAGGCGACATACATCCTCCTCAGCTTACGAAGATGACGGGATTAAGAGATTAAAGACAGGAATAGGAAATCACAAGGCTATTGATTGGGGAAGTGATAAGTGTCCATGAAATCTTCACAATTTATGTTCAGAGACTGCAGTAAAGACAGGTGTAAGAAATTATAAAAGTATTAATTTGGGGAACTAACAAATGTCCGTGAAATCTTCACAATTTATGTTCTTCTGCCACGGCTTCAGCCGGTCCCTCCGTTCGGGGTTCCTGACTTCCCTCAACAGATGCAGTCTCACTATGTTGCCCAAGCTGTTCTCAAACTCCTGGCCTCAAGCAATCCTGACATTATAGGAATGAGCCACCATGCCTGGGTGACAGACCACCTTCTGTTTATCCACTTATCAACAGATAGCCATTTGGGTGTTTTTAGTTTTTGGCTATGGTGAATAATGCTGCTATGAACATTTGCATACAAGTCTTTGTGTGGAAAAAAATTTCTTCAGGGTAAATACCTAGGATTGGAATTGCTGGATCATATAGTAAGTCCACGTTTAACTTTTTTTTTTTTTTTTAAATACGGTCTCATTATTTTGCCTAGTCTGGTCTCAAACTCCTAAGCTCAAGCAATGCTTCTGCCTCGGCCTCTTACAAGTGAGTACCACCACTCCTGGCCATATTTAACTGTTTAAGAAACTGCCAGACTGTTTTCCCAAATGGCTACACCATTTTACATTCCCACCAGCAAAGTATAGAAAGTTCTAATTTCTCTATATCCTTGCCAACACTATCTTTTGTCTTTTTTTTTTTTTTTTTGAGATGGAGTCTTGCTCTGTCACCCAAGCTGGAGTGAAATGGCATGATCTGGGCTCACTGCAACCTCCACCTCCCGGGTCAAGCAATTCTCCTGCCTCAGCCTCCCTAGTAGCTGGGATTACAGGCATGCACTACCATGCCCAGCTAATTTTCCTATTTTTAGTAGAGAGGAGGTTTTACCACGTTGGCCAGGCTGGTCTCAAACTCCTGAACCCAAGTGATCTACTGGCCTTGGCCTCTCAAAATGCTGGGATTACAGGTGTGAGCCACCGTGACTGGCTGTGTCTGCCTTTTTCACTCTAGCCATTCTACTGGGTGAGAAATGGTATCTCACGAGGGTTTTGATTTTTATTTCCCTAATGGCTCATGATGTTGAATGTCTTTTCATGTACTTATTGGTCACCCGTATATCCTCTTTGGAGAAATGGTTATTCAAATACTTTACCCATTAAAATAAAAATTTCATCTTTAAGAGCAGTTTCGAGTTCACAGCAAAACTGAACAGAAAATACAGGGTTCCCCCACCCCACACACACTCATAGCCTCCCCCCACCAACAACATCAGGCACCAGAGGATATATTTGTTATAAGCAATGAAGCTACATTGACACACCAGTATCACCCATATCCCATAGTTTACATTAGGTTTCATTCTTGGTGTTGTACATCCTGTAGGGTTTGACAAATGTGTAATAACATGTATCCACCATTATAACATCCAGAGTAATTTCACTACCCTAAATATTCTCTGTGCACCACCTCTGTGCATTTCTCCCCACTCCCAGCCCCTGCCATCTTTTTTATTGTCTCCATAGTTTTGCCTTTTCCAGGATGTAATATAGTTGGAATCATACAGTATGTAGCTCTTTCAGATTGTCTTCTTTCACTTACTAATATGCATTTAAGGTTTCTCCATGCCTTTTCATGGCTTAATAGCTCATTTCTTTCTAGTGCTGAATATAGTCCATTGTCTGGATATACCAAGGTTTATTTATCCATTTACCTGCTAAAGGACATCTTGGTTGCTTTCAAGTTTTGGCAATTACAAATAAAGCTGCTGCTGGCCGGGAGCGGTGGCTCACGCCTGTAGTCCCAGAACTTTGGGAGGCCAAGGCGGGCAGATCACGAGGTCAGGAGATCGAGACCATCCTGGCTAACATGGTGAAACCCCGTCTCTACTTAAAATACAAAAAATTAGCTGGGCTTCGTGGCAGGCGCCTGTAGTCCCAGCTACTTGGAGGCTGAGGCAGGAGAATGGCGTGAACCCAGGAGGCAGAGCTTCCAGTGAGCCGAGATCGCGCCACTGCACTCCACCCTGGGTGACAGAGCGAGACTCCATCTCAAAAACAAAAACAAAAACAAAAGCTGCTGTAAACATCCATGTGCAGGTTTCTGTGTGGACATAAGTTTTCAGCTCATTTGGGTAAACACTAAGGAATGCAATGGCTGGATCTTCTGATGGGAGTATGTTTAGTTTTGTCAGAAAGCCAAACTGTCTTCCAAAGCTGCTGTACCATTTTGCGTTCCTACCAGTAAGGAGAGTTCCTGTTGCTTCACATCCTCACCAGCATTTGGTGTTGTCTCCCTTGCCCATTTCTAAACTTGGCTATTTGTCTTTTCATTACTGAGTTGTAAGAATTTTATGTATCCTAGATACAAGTCCCTTATGGAACATGTGATTTGCAAAAATTTTCTCCCAGTTTGTGGGTTGTTTAGAGGTCTTTTTTTTCTTTTCCTTTTGAGACAGGGTCTCACTCTGTCGCCCAGACTGGAGTCCAGCGGCGCAATCTTGGCTCACCGCAACCTCCACCTCGCGGGCTCAAGCGATCCTCCTGCCTCAGCCTCCCGAGTAGCTGAGATTACAGGTGCCCACCACCATGCCGGCTAATTTTTGTATTTTTAGTAGAGACGGGGGTTTCACCATGTTGGCCAGGCTGGTCTCGAACTCCTGACATCAGGTGATACACCTGCCTTGGCCTCCCAAAGTGTTGGGATTACAGGAGTGAGCCACTGCGCCCCATTTTTTTTTTGAATGTTGAACACAATGAATTTATCATGATAGTGGGTACTTCTGAAGGAGGCAGGGGTATACACAAGGTTAGAATCATACAGGTAGATATCATGGTATAGGTGCTGCGAGAGTCAGAAAACTGACTCTGGCACCAGCTGCCTGGGCTTCAACCCCAATGCTGTAAAGTAACTTAGTCTCTTTGTGCCTCAGTTTTCTCATCTATAAAATGAGTATATCAGCCGGGGGCAGTGGCTCACACCTGTAATCCCAGCACTTTGGGAGGCTGAGGTGGGTGGATCACCTGAAGTCAGGAGTTTGAGACCAGCCTGGCCAACATAGCAAAACCCCGTCTCTACTAAAATACAAGCATTAGCCATGCATGGTGGTGCGCACCTGTAATCCCAGCGATTCGGAAAGCTGAGGCAGGAGAATGGCTTGAACATGAGAGGCGGAGGTTGCAGTGAGCCGAGATTGCACCATTGCAGTCCAGCCTAGGTGAGTCTCACTCTGTCTCAAAAAAAAAAAAAAAAAAGGGTATATCAACACAATCTCACTGGTGTGTTGTGAAGCCTAGCCAAGTTAATGTACCTAGAGAACTAGAGAACAGTGGCTACTAAGGACATCTAAGGACACTTTATACAAACCTTAACTGTGTTACAACTTCTTAAGTCAGTACTGAGGTTCAAAAGCTTCCATTTTATTATTATGCTTTATAATTTATATATGTTACGTGCTTTCTTTTGTATAGCTCACTTGAATATATATATACATTTTAGAAGATAATAAGGAAGAAAAAAAGTATATCTGGTTTTTTAACCCTTCGAAATGGGAAAGTTTGGAGTAGATGCTCAGCCCCGGCCCCTGGCCCTTCCCCAATACTCACAGGCTCCTGTCAACTACACCTTCAGAAAAAGACGGAGCCTCTTAGGCAGCAGTCAGGCAGGTGGGGGCGATCTGTCAGGTGACCTAGACTCTGGGCCATCTCAGTTTCCTCACCTGTAAAATGGGGATGCTGAGGTACCTACCTGACCTATGAGAGCGGAGAACACTGAGATATCTTGCCCATGGCCTGCCCTGTGGTTAGCTGTCGTTTTTTCCTTGACACTTGTAGGCTCCTCTTCATGTTTACATAACCTCAGTGGGAAAACGCCAGCGAAGAGAGACACTCAGAATGGACGATCTAAAGTTCCTTCCAGCTTCCAAATTCTGGGCTGGTTTTCAGAGATCCAGGGCTCGGGATGCGAATGTCCCTGTCTACGATGGGGCTGCCGTTACAGCCTTCCTCCCGGGGCTCTGGAGACGCGCCAGCTCTTTGACACCTCTCCTGCGCTAAGGAAGAGTTGGTTTACAGAAAAGTAAGTATATCCTGGCCCTGCAGAAAGCCGCCAGGCGGCAGGACAAGCCCCACCGCAGCCCAGGCGCCATTATCTGCCTCAGCAGTTACCTCGGGGTCCCGCCACGAGGAGGTTCTTCAAGGCCTGCGCGCCCACGGACACTACCAAGGAGCGCGGCGGGCAGCCGGATAGCAGGACGCTGAGGGAAACCCCGCAGTCGCTCGGCGTCCCCGGCGCCAGCTCACGACCCAGCGACCTCCTGCGGCCCGAGCGTCCCCTGGCGGCAACGCCGGCTCGTTAGAGCGAGCGACAGATGGTGTAGTCCAAAGGCCAAGCGGCGTTTCTGTAGATGAGCATGCGCAGCACCCACCGTTCGCTCAGCCAGAGAGAGGCTTCCCAGCCAATCCGAGAGCCTCAGAGTCATCCTCCCGCCCACCCAGCATACAGGCGGGGCGTTCCTCCTTAGCCAATGGGAAAAGACATTCGCCCGCGGTCCGCACGCGCTGCTTGCAAAGGGGTGGGGTTGTGGAGTGGATGCTTTGGCAAGATGGCGGGGAGCGGCGTCCGCCAAGCTACTTCTACCGCCAGCACCTTCGTGAAGCCCATTTTCAGTCGGGACATGAACGAGGCCAAGCGGAGGGTGCGCGAGCTCTACCGCGCCTGGTATCGGGAGGTGCCGAACACTGGTGAGAGGTAGCGGCTTACGTGGGGACCCGGAGGCCGCCGCTCAAGGTCGTAGCCGGCCCGGCCGGGGTTTCTCATGGGCCCAGCTGAGGTCACCAACTTGGGCAGAGGCGACTGCGGGTGCTTCAGGGGAAGAGGGTCACCCGAGCCTACCATGGGCCGGACCTGGCGGCGGCGCGGTGGTCAGACCGGCCGTGCCTAGCATTCGTACGTGCTATCGGAGCTTTGGTCTCTTTTGTCCTTCGCAATTGGCGGGAGGACGATGACTGTCAGTGACACACTCACTTTGTGGGTGAGGCAGCGGAGGCACCGAGAGGTGAAGTGATGTGCCCAGGGCCCAGGCCGAGCCACTGTTGTACCCAGAACCCAAAGTCTAGAGTTGCAGAGTGTAATTATAGATGCCCGTTGGATTTTTTTGTTTGTGACAGAGTCTCGCTGTGTCGCTCAGGCTGGAGTGCAGTGGTGCGATCTCGGCTCACTGCAAGCTCCGCCTCCCGGATTCACGTCATTCTCCTGCCTCAGCCTCAGCCTCCCGAATAGCTGGGATTACAGGCGCCCGCCACCACGCCGGCCATTTTTTTTTGTATTTTTAGTAGAGACGGGATTTCACCGTGTTAGCCAGAATGGTCTCGATCTCCTGACCTCGTGATCCGCCCGTCTCGGCCTCCCAAAGTGCGAGAAAGAGGTGTTTTTGAGTGAGCTGGAGCACGGTGCCACTCCTCAGGGCTGTCGAGTCCCTGCTTGTGTGTGTGAAAAGGCGGTAGAATGTGGTGGTTAGGAGCACGGACTTTTCTTCAGGCGCTGCCCTCAACTAGCTGTGTGACCTTGGGCCAGTTATTTCATCTATTCCTCAGTTTCTTCATCTTTAAAATGGGAATAATAATTCCTTCTTCAGAAGGTTACTGTATTAAGTTAAAATATCTAGAGTGCTTAGAACAGGACTTGATGCATATTTAACTCATTAAATATTAGCTGCTGCCGTTGTTTTTGTTGTTATTTTTGTTATTTATAGGGCTTTCCTTAGCAGCAGCTTCCAAGCAGAACCCGGTTCTTTGACATATGAGAACTGTGTCTGCTCCACAGAGTCCCTGTCTTCAAGCTGACTTTTGGAAAAATTGCTACTGACCAGAACTTAAACCCACGCGATACTAGAGAAGGAGAAACTTGAGTGATCTGCTGGTTCAGGGACTGCAAATTCAGATGCCTTCAGGGGCAGGCAGATAAAAGATGTGTGTGGGGAGTGACTGTAGCAGTGTGTGTGTGTGTGTGTGTGTGTGTGTTTCGGGGTGGTGCATTCAAATTCAGCAGTTTGAAAACATAATGTTTGCCTGGCAGAATACTTCTAGGAGTACCCAGAACCCTCTCTGGTTGCAGGAGGAAGGTGCTGGGGGAAGGAGGACCACATTCAAAAAGGGTGGCTTGTGAAGGGTAAATCAGTGGCCAAGTAGAAGACAGAACCCAGGTATCCTGACTCTGAGGATCCAGCTCTTTCTAAACCGACCCCTCCCAAGACCTTCCCTCAAATTCTGTTTTGGGAAGAAAGTCCCAAAGTCAGAAGGGTCTTGAGAGGAGGAAAAGAAGGCAGAGGGCTACAGGAGCCTAGAAAGCAAGGGAAGAGGAGAGAAAAGAAGGGGTCAAGGAGTATGCATCCCTATGGGGAAGATCAGTGATCTGTAGCTGGCCAGTTACTCAAACCTGTGCCACACGGGTTTTATGGTATCCATCATCAGGACTCCAGCTGAGGAATCAAATCAAGGAAGGGGAATAAGTAATAGTGTTGAGAACTTAGAACAGCCTGAGCATTAATAAAAAACAAAAGTAAAATTTTAAGTATTTAATGAAAAAAACAGTAATGATAACTCACTTTTTTTTTTTTTTTTTTTTTTGAGACAGAGTCTCGCTCTTGTCTCCCAGGCTGGAGGGCAATGGCGCGATCTTGGCTCACTGCAACCTCCACCTCCCGGGTTCAAGTGATTTCCCCATGCCTCAGCCTCCCGAGTAGCTGGGATTATAGTTGCGTGCCACCACACCTGGCTAACTTTTGTATTTTTAGTAGAAACGGGGTTTCACCATGTTGGCCAGGCTGTCTTGAACTCCTGACCTCAGGTGATCCACCTGCCTTGGCCTCCCAAAGTGCTGGGATTACAGGCGTGAGCCACCGCGCCCAGCTAATAAAATAATAATTATTTTTTTTGAGACGGAGTCTCGCTCTGTCGCCCAGGCCGGACTGCGGACTGCAGTGGCGCAATCTCGGCTCACTGCAAGCTCCGCTTCCCGGGTTCACGCCATTCTCCTGCCTCAGCCTCCTGAGTAGCTGGGACTACAGGCGCCCGCCACCGCGCCCGGCTAATTTTTTGTATTTTTAGTAGAGACGGGGTTTCACCTTGTTAGCCAGGATGGTCTCGATCTCCTGACCTCATGATCCACCCGCCTCGGCCTCCCAAAGTGCTGGGATTACAGGCGTGAGCCACCGCGCCCAGCCTTTTTTTTTTTTTTTTTTTGAGACACAGTCTCACTCTGTCACCCAGGCTGGAATGCAGTGGCCCATCTCAGCTCACTGCACCCTCCACCTCCCGGGTTCAAGTGATTCTCCTGCCTCAGTCTCCCGAGTAGCTGGGATTACAGGCACCCACCACCATGCCCGGCTCATGTTTGTATTTTTAGTGGAGACGGGGTTTCACCATGTTGGCCAGGCTGGTCTTGAACTCCTGACCTCAGGTGATCCACCTGCCTTGGCCTCCCAAAGTGCTGGGATTACAGGCGTGAGCCACCGCGCCCAGCTAATAAAATAATTATTATTTTTTTTGAGACGGAGTCTCGCTCTGTCACCCAGGCTGGAGTGCAGTGGTGCGACCTCGGCTCACTGCAAGGTCCACCTCCCGGGTTCACACCATTCTCCTGCCTCAGCCTCCCGAGTAGCTGGAATTACAGGCACCCACCACCACACCCGGCTAATTTTTTGTATTTTTAGTAGAGACGGGGTTTCACTGTGTTAGCCAGGGTAGTCTCGATCTCCTGACCTCATGATCCGCCCACCTCGGCCTCCCAAAGTGCTGGGATTACAGGCGTGAGCCACCGCGCCCAGCCCATAAAATAATTTTTTAAAAAATACACTCAGGCACAAGAAAGTTAACTTACACGGGATCATATAGCTAACAAAAGCTGGGATTTGAACCCAGGTTGTTCAAACTCTTGAACAATGCTTTACTGCCTCTTCAAATTCAGTGGTCTTTTTCCCCAAACAAATAATAAGTTCCTTGAGAGCAAATACCATGAATCACATGTCTCATCCTCAAGCACCTAGCCTAGGGTCAGGCTAATTTTTTGGTGAAGAAATGAATGGGCGACCTGTATGTGTTCAATGAGTATCATTTGACTCTAGGTTTTATTTAACCATACAATTTCTACCCTGAGTCATGTTTTTCTCTCTAGTGCACCAATTCCAGCTGGACATCACTGTGAAAATGGGACGGGATAAAGTCCGAGAAATGTTTATGAAGAATGCCCATGTCACAGACCCCAGGGTGGTTGATCTTCTGGTCATTAAGGTAACTGACCCTCCCTGACCAATTTAAAAGATCAGCCAACTTGTCCACTACTTCTTAGTCTTTCCAAATGAACATTTTGTCTCCAAGTTTAGAAAGCAGCTACTGGTTCGGCAGTGATTATTGCTGTGTTTCAGAGAAATACTTGAACTTGGAGGTTATCATCTGGTTAAATAGATAAGATTCATCAAGGGAACATCCACTGGGACTTGCATTTTATAACCATAAAAAAAGATATAGGGAGGAAAGTTTGAACTCTTCTTGAACCTCATCCCTAGAAGTTACCACTTCATCTGAATGCCAGTTTACAGCTGGAAGAGGCAGTTAGGGTGGTTATGAGTCCTGTATAAATGGACTCAAATCCTGGGGCTGATTCTGTCCCCCTGGCCAGTCACGTTAGCATCAATGGGAGCTTCAGCATAGACCAGTCAGTAACAGAAGAAATGATAAGCAGAAACATAAGTTAAGCCAGTCAGGTTAGGTAGTCATGGGATAGGAGCCTGTTAACCTGTATGTTTCTCCTCTTGGTACCAGTTAACCACAGAGTTAAAGAATCTGAAAAGTGTCAGAAATGATTTACCCTGACCACCTCATTGTCCAGACATAGAAACTTTGCCCAGACAGAGTAGTTACTTGCCCAAGGTCATTCAACAAGTCCATGCTGAGCAGAGAATAGAATCCTGGCCTTCAGTGTCATATGCCTTCAACTTGACAACTTTGACTGATGACCTCTCTCCTCACTGTTCAGGGAAAGATCGAACTGGAAGAAACAATTAAAGTATGGAAGCAGCGGACACATGTTATGCGGTTCTTCCATGAAACAGAAGCGCCAAGGCCAAAGGATTTCCTATCCAAGTTCTATGTTGGCCACGATCCATGAAGTCATTCAGTGGAAAGATGCACGTTGATACTATTTTAGAGCACAAATAAACTCACTATACAATGGTCACTTTGTGATAGAATTCCATTGATGAACCAATTTTCTGCAGCCTCTTTTTGCCTGAGCAAGTGGGACCTTGGTATACACATCACCTGTTCTTTCCCTTTTCTTGAAATGTGGTGTTTGCTGTAAATTGGATTGAATTATTTTTCTCAGAGCCTTGCATGTCAGTAAACAGGAAGGAAGGAGGCCATCTGTTCAAAAATTGTGACATTGGGCATGAGGCTGGACGACTTGTTAATGTAGTTGTTTCTATAGCCCCTATGATTAGACACTTCAGTGTCAGGGCACAGATTATCTAAAATTAGCCAGCTCTTCCTGTCAGGGATCAGGGCAGCACTAACAGGCGCAAAAGTAGAGCTGTCAAGATGGGCTAGTTTTCCTTGGGTTCTGAAGAAAATGGATGTGCAAAGGCTTGGCTCCGCTACTTGTAACAAGCTCCAGCCCTTAAAATGAAATTAACTTCCTACTCAGGCACCCTGCTTAGGTGCACAGCTGTTCAATATACACAGAGAACAGAAATATTCCTACTGTCTTTGGAAACCCTGGTGTACCTCTCAGTGGCAGAATAAACATCAACACAGGTTCAAGAACTGATCTCTGTTTGGATGGTGGTCTTCTCTTGTGCTTCCCAGGGCAATCCAAATGATGGAGAAGGGGTTTGGAATCTATAGGTATGATCACTGAGGACTCCCATACTTTTTTTTTTTTTTTAAATAGAGATGGCGTCTCTCCATTGCCCAGGCTGGTCTTTTTTTCTTTTCTTTTTTTTGAGATGGAGTCTCGCTGTTGTTGCCCAGGCTGGAGTGCACTGGTGTGATCTTGGCTCACTGCACCTTCCACCTCCTGGTTCAAGTAATTCTCCCTGCCTCAGCCTCCCAAGTAGCTGGGATTACAGGCATGGACCACCACATCCAGCTAGTTTTATATTTTTAGAAAAGACGGAGTTTCACCATGTTGGCCAGGCTGGTCTCAAACTCTTGACCTCAAGTAATCCACCCGCCGTGGCCTCCCAAAGTGCTGGCGTGAGCCACCGCGCCCAGGCCAGTCTTGAACTCCTGGGCTCAAGTGATCCTCCTGCCTCCGCCTCCCAAAGTGTTGGGACTACAGGCATCAGCCATTGTGCATGGCCCCAAACCTTATGGCACCAAGGATCCCTTTATAATCTTTTCACGTAAGGAACCTGAGGGAAAAACTCAAGGTGTTTTTGTGTTCTCTCACTCAATAACAATAAACACATAAGACTTCTGTGATCAAACGTTATGAGGGTTTCTCCCCACACTAAGCAAGCAGTCAGTTCTGCAGCAGACACCAGCTGCCTGTCCTCCAATTCTCTTCGAACACTATCTACCTGGAGATAGCAACAGATTCCACAGGTTTGGGGCTCAGTCCCACAAGACTGCTCCCACCCCCATTAGACAACATTCACAAGTCCAAGCCTCCAGAACTTCTGAGCTTCAAGTTCCCATGACCCCTTCTTTTTTTTTTTTTTTTTTTGAGATGGAGTCTCACTCTGTCGCCCAGGCTGGAGTGCAGTGGTGCCATCTCGGCTCACTGCAAGCTCTGCCTCGCGGGTTCACGCCATTCTTCTCCTGCCTCAGCCTCCCGAGTAGCTGGGACTACAGGTGCCCGCCACCACACCCGGCTAATTTCTTCTATTTTTTAATAGAGACAGAGTTTCACTGTGTTAGCCAGGATGGTCTCGCTCTCCTGACCTTGTGATCTGCCCGCCTTGGCCTCCCAAAGTGCTGGGGTTACAGGTGTGAGCCACCGCACCTGGCTGACCCCTTCTTTTTAATTTGCTGGAGCAGCTTGCAGAACTCAGAGGAACACTTAGGTCCGTTTACTGGTTTATTATAAAGGATATCACAAAAGATACAGCTGAAGAGATGCATAGGGTGAGGTATAGAAGGGGCGTGGAGCTTCCAAGTTCTCTCCAGGCGTGCCACTTTGCAAAGCCAAGTGTTCTGTTCTCCGAAAGCTCTCTAAACCTGTCTTCTTGGGCCTTTTATGGAGACCTCATTGGATAGGGATGATTGAAGCATGGACAACACTGGAGAAATGGGATTGGACAAAAGAGGCATAATCTAATACAGATGGAGTGGGGAAGTCCAACAAGGCCTGTCTACATTTCTTCCTCTCAGGTATGGGGCAGAATCCCTTCTGAAATGGGGGTCTCATGACCTAAAATCAGACAAGGTAGGTCAGAGGATTCTTTTTATGGCCAACTGGAAGACGGGCAAAGGAAGATTATACTTTTAGTTTCTATGGCCTGCCTTGGGGAGAAAAAGCAGCAGGTGAAAGGAGGTCAGGAGAAGATCTGAGAAACAGCCTGCTGTTTTCTGAGGCCCGAAGTGCCCAACATTATAACAAAAGCCTAAAACAAGGGTTTTGGGAGTTATAAGCCAGGAAATAGATGAAAACCTATCTATATCCTCATATCACAGAACCCGAGTTTTGAATCATTCTAGTTATATTTAAGTAGTATGCTAACAAGCAGAGCTGTCATGACTGGCACTGAACACAGAATGGCATGAGGCTTTAGTTAGCCCATGAAGCTTTCTTAAGGGAAAATGCACAGTTTCTGTTGGGCTTTTGTAAACAATGAAAATAGTTCCCAGGGCCCCCAGAATAGTTCACCAGGCTCCACTGCAGCCTGGATAGCCTGGGCCTATGTTTCTCCCATAAATAAAGGACAGCAGAGACAACTGCACCAACTAGAACCTAGGGATACTGAGAAACTGCAGCCATCACTCAGTCACGCACGGCTGATATTTATTATGTTTATTCATAATTTGATTGCTTGTTTGTGCAGTGCTTAGTGGACAGCACATCTCAGGGAGCCTCCCAGAGCCTGGGGTGGAATACGGTCATGGACCATACAGGAAGCTTCACCAGACTGGGAGGCTGAGGGCCTTCCCCGAGCCTTTCTGCTGATAGGGAAGGCAGAGAAACTGAGAGCATCACCATTTCTTCAGTTAGTGCTTTCTCCTTTCTGTAATTCCTGTAAGAAAGGAAAGCAGCAGTGAACTGGGCAACAGCGTAGTCTTCCATCCGCAGACTGAAAGAATTCCACAAAGTGCTTCTATCAAACATGGCAGGAGAAAGGCAGCTTTGAGCACGTTTGGTTGTTCATGCGCACGTTAACTGGGCATTCACCACAGGCCAGGCACTGGGGGCCGCAATGTATAAAAAACGTCCCCTGCCAGCAAGAAGCTCAGAGTCTAGTAAAATTTTGCTTTGTGTGTGTTTAGCCACATAATACCGAGTATTTGAAGAGAGGTACTGGTTGCTTAGAGGAAGGAGCCGTCAACTTTCAAATGAAAGGAGGAACGAAGACTTCAAAGACACTGTAGAATGGGTGGAATTAAGACCCAGAGCTCTGGGAAGGAGCCTTCCATGTGGGAGGAACAATGAGCCAATGTTTGGGGGTGGGTATGAGTGTGAAAACTCAAGAAATGGTGAATACTGGGAATCGGTGTGTGGCTGGAAATATGGAAGATGAGACTGGAATAAGAGGTGTGACCAGATTATGGCAAGCCTTGAATGCCAGGCTAAGGAACAGGAGTGTCCTCATCTCTTGACAGAATGCCATGCAGCACATATTAGAGCACATGAAGTTGGCTGGGCGCAGTGGCTCACGCCTGTAATCACAGCACTTTGGGAGGCCAAGGTGGGTGGATCACCTGAGGTCGGGAGTTTGAGACTAGCCTGGCTAACATGGAGAAACCCCGTCTCTACTAAAAATACAAAATTAGCCAGGCACAGTGGCGCATGTCTGTAATCCCAGCTACCCGGTAGGCTGAGGCAGGAGAATCGCTTGAACCTGGAAGGCAGAGGTTGCAGTGAGTCGAGATCATGCCATTGCACTCCAGCCTGGGCAACAAGAGCGAAACTCCGTCTCAAAAAACAAACAAACGAAAACATTAGCCACCAAGTGGGCCAATTCATTAATGCTTCTGCCCCCAGTGTCCAAATGCTGCTACCAGGCCAGACTGCATCACAGACAGATGCTCCACCCTGCTTCCTGCTCCATCTAGGGTAAAGCAAGTCTTACCTGTTAGTCATCATCATCATCATCCTCTGGAACAAAAATGTCATGTTCCTCAAGTAGAGCAGCAAAGTTCTTGCTAATGAGTGTCCCGACATAGAGAAAGGGGATCACAATGGAGAACACACGGAGAAGGCCGAAGGACATCTGCAGAGGGTCAGAGTGGCAGCTGTGAGCTCCAGAGCCCACTCTGGCAGGACCAAAGAAGACCTGGCCCTCTCACAGACATACCCTCAGACCCATCATAAGCAACTTGATTTTAAAGTCCTTGGAAAAATTCAGGGCAAGAAAAGTAATTAGAAAAGGAGAAGGCCAGGCAGGGTGGCTCACACCTTTAATCCCAGCACTTTGGGAGGCTGAGGTGGGTGGACCACCTGAGGTCAGGAGCTTGAGACCAGCCTGGCCAACATGGTGAAATCCCGTCTCTACTAAAAATACAAAAAATTGACCCAGCATGGTGGTGCGCACCTGTAATCCCAGCTACTCGGGAGGCTGAGGCAGGATAATTGCTTGAATCCAGGAGGCAGAAGTTGCAGTGAGCCAAGATTGCACCATTCCACTCCAGCCTGGGAGACAGAGTGAGGCTCTGTCTAAAAAAAAGACAAAAGGCCGGGCGCAGTGGCTCACACCTGTAATCCCAGCACTTTGGGAGGCTGAGGCGGGCGGATCACGAGGTCAGAAGTTCGAAATCAGCCTGGCTAACATAGTGAAACCCCGTCTCTACTAAAAATACAAAAAATTAGCCGGGTGTGGTGGTACATGCCTGTAGTCCCAGCTACTCAGAAGGCTGAGGCAGAAGAATCACTTGAACCCGGGAGGCGGAGGCTGCAGTGAGCCAAGATTGTGCCACTGTACTCCAGCCTGGGTGACAGAGTGAGACTCCGTCTCAAAAAAAAAAAAAAGGAGATAAGGTGACTGTTATGGCCATCAAAATGGACGAAAAGTCCACTGGAAAGAAAAGTCTAAGGCACCCTAGACATCTAAAGTTAGGACACAGCCTGCTAATTACTTTAAATCCCTACAGGCAATCGGGTGCACCAGTACTAGGAGGGCCAGACTACGGTGAGCTCTGCCTGAACACGAAATACACGAAAACCGATGACAGAAAGATGTACAGTGAAGGGATATTCTACACAGTTCACTAAGTAACAGGTTCCCTGATGCCTGAGAAATTTGATTTAAAAATTTTAGAAACAGATGTATTTGAAAGTGGGCATGTATTTACACTCAAAGACTTTAGATGGATTGGGAGAATGTCAGTAAAATCTCAGCAACATTTCTCTCGTATTCCTAGAATTAAAAAAATTTTTTTTTCAACTGTTTTGATAAGGCAGGTCTTTCCCAACATGGACCTACAGTCAATTGTGTGAGTTAGCATAGGCTAGACTAGCTTTAAGAGAATTTGTTTTTTTAACTCCCACACCACACAGCCCTGCAGTCGTAAAGCAAACTTTCGCTTGATATAAGGGACTGTTTCCGTTTTCCCTAGAAAAACTCAAGCATGTGATAGCGTTCAGTGTTGGAAAAAGACAGGACCTGGTGGGGACGGTACCAGGAAGAAACCCGGATGCTGCGTCCTCAGCGCTGGCCTTGGATACGAGCTTCACCGCTCTAGCCCGATTCTTCATTTGAAAACCCGTGATTGTAATAATTCCCTGCACATCTATCAGGACTGTAAATCACATGAATTAAATATTAGGTGACAACTAATAAAAAGATGAGGCCCGTCCCACGTACCCTTTATTTACAGAGTCCTTTCAAAATTCATATTTCATCCCATAAACTAGGAGACAGGCAGGGCAGAGATTACAGGACTGCTCTAAGCTAGAAGCACACGGCCTAGTCTTCTGACTCCAGAGGAGCAGAGCACCGCACCTCTCAGGACAAGCTAATGTAAAAGGCCAACTTCCTCAGCGTTTGCCCCCCATCTTCTGTCTACCTACCATTTTCTACACACCTGTCAAAATTAGCAACTCATTAGCGTATTCTTGGTCCGCCTTCCAGTCTACGGTAATCGTTATGATTGGCCTTGGCTCCTATCAATCAGCGCCGCCCTCACGCACTCCCCACAATGATTGGCCTCAGCCCCTTCGCCCCGTCTCCAGGAGGACACTCACTTTCACCGGTTTGGGCAAAATGGCGCCGCTGCGGGTAACGATGACTGACCTCGACGGTACCAGGCTCCGGCCTGAGCCGCTCCATGCGGCGGAGACATCGCCATCTTTCCTCAAGCTAGGCCCGCTCCGGAGAGCCCCGGACCTGACGGGTGCCAATACTAGCCAGCGAGCCGCTCCGGACGCCATGCCCCCAGCTCCGCCCCTCACCCGGGCACCCGCACCCCACCGCCCAGCCCTCGTGCCGCCCTCGGGAAGAAAGCCGCCCGAAGCCTCGCGAGAGTTTGAGGAGTACACGAGAAGCCCAGCCCTCCCACTCGCGCAGTGCCGGCGGCTCCTGGGGCGGCGGGAGGGAGGTGTTTGTCACTGGCCGGCATGGTGGCGTCACGAGAGTGGCGGCGCAGCCCCGGCTCCCTCAGTCCGCGTCCTGCTGGGCGTGGCCGCGGTCTTGGGTCCGCCCGGCCGTCAGAACAGGCCTCAGCGGCCGGTTGTGGAAATAAACCCAGGGAGCGGAAGGAGTAATAACGAAAAAGCTTTACTAGTGTTTTAACCGTGTACAAAACACTGTAGCAATAAGAGAAAGGCCCGTGCTATCTGTGTTTAAACAAAATGCAGTGGCTGCGGGGCTTCCAGGCAGGGCTGGGGAACAGGCCGGGCGCCCGCCTTGGGCGCATCTCCGCCTCTTAGGGGTAAGAGGCTCAGAGCCTACCCCTTAGGCCTAGTTGGATGCGGGTCGGTCCTGCCCAAGGCCCCAGTGAGGGGAGCCGAGGCTAGGAAGGGGCAAGTTTTATGTGTTTGGGAGGGGGTGTCTCTTCCCGGCCTCTGCGTCTTCCCCCTGGAGCGTCAGTATGGTCAGGCTCTGGTGACCCAGCCGCTTTGCCTCCCGACTTTGGGAAGAGTAGCAAGGAGAGGTCCTGGCAAGTACACCCTGGGTGACAAACGGCTATGAGAGTTCCCAGGTGATTTCTCGAGCAGCTTCAGTTTACCGGAGCCCAGCCAGGAGAGAGAATTTTAGCACAGGAAACGCAATCCCGTGTCCAAGCTCCTAGAATACCCAGGACTGAGAACCAAAGCAACAGACTTTTCCCAGGGAGCCACACTGCCTCCCCACCTCTTCTTTAACCCCTCACTTGGCAGCTCCAGGAGTTGGCTGCTGAAGACAGAGTACAGGAGGGCATTTCGTTGACGTAAAAAAGCTACAAGCCCCTTCCGGGGCAAGGTCCAGCACCATCTGTTAACAGGGCAGCCAGGGAGAAAGGATGGGACCCCAGCACTCTGAGCAGAATAAATCTCTCTTCACTGGCCGAAGACCCTCTGCCTCAAAGGGCCCTACCCAGACTGCTGAGTGAGGATCCCATCCCCAATCTTCCCACCCCTCTCAGGAAGAGCTGGGTCCCAGAAACTCCTATGACACAATAAATCCACTTTCTCTGACAGTGTCAGAGCTTCAAGCCGATACTGCAGCCTACCTCGGATTTAAGTGCACAGGAGACTCCCCAGGTTGGAAATTATGGCTCTAGAGCCCGGTGTGTAGGCCAAAGGTATGGCAAGCCTGTGACAGTCTCGGGTGACATTCCCCACTTCCTTCATTTCATTAACATCCCCTGGGAGGGGGCAGTCAGGCCAGTGCAGTCAGGAGATTGGGGTCTTGCTCTGTGGCTGCTAAGTCTCCTTCCTTCTCTGGACCTCAGGAAATAAAGAGGATGGAAGGAATGGTCCCGCAGTCCCTTCCAGACACACGGGTGGATCTCGAACCTGGAGAATGCCTAAATAGCAGGAAGGAGAGAACCCATGTCCCCTCCCAAAACGCAACCTTGGAAATGGGTAAACATTTAACTCCTGAAAAAGAACTGGCCCTGGTTTCCTGACTCAAAGGGCCCAGACTTAGGGCCTATCCTGTTCCTCACATTTTGAGTGGCTCCCCTGGGCCCTCTTCTGCCAACACTGCCGCAGCTCCACGATCTCCTGGCCATACCAGTCATGCAGGGTAGAGAAGCAGGAGGTCTCAGGGGACACAGGGCTCTGCCCCTTGCCTAGGAGGAGGCTGGCAGGGCCCTGCAGCTCCCACTCAGCCAACCCCCACCCTGCAGACCTGCTGCCCGCTTCTTCAACCAAGCCCACAGGGCTGCTGTCCTTGGAGAGGCAGTGGCCATTCTCCAGGCCCGCAGCTCGGTGGTTAGGAGCCTGGGGCTTACAGCGGCTGGCAACAGACTTCCAGGATGAGCGGCGTTGCAAAGCCAGGCTCTGGCGTGCGTCCTGCAACTGGCTCTCCAACTCGCGTACCACCAGGCGCATGTAGCCA